>NW_003315908.1:0-143390 GCF_000001405.40 Homo sapiens
AGTCCTTATAGCAACCCTATCATTAACCTGACTACACAGATGAGAAAACTGAGACACACAGAAGCAGAGTGCAGATTTGACCCCAGAAACCAAGTTCTTTTTTTTTTTTTTTTTTTGAGACAGGGTCTTGCTTTGTCGCCCAGGCTGGAGTGCAGTGGTGCGATTTCAGCTCACTGCAGCCTCTGCTTCCTGGGTTCAAGCAATTCTCCCACCTCAGCCTCCCTAGTAGCTGGGATTACAGGGGCCTGCCACCAAGCCTGGCTAATTTTTTTGTATTCTTAGTAGAGACAAGGTTTCACCATGTTGGCCAGACTAGTCTTGAACTCCTGACCTCAGGCGATCCATCTGCCTCAGCCCCACAAAGTGCTGGGATTACAGGCATGAGACACCACGGCCGGCCCCAAGTTCTTGAACATTACACTTTTCCACCAACATGTAGGTATTTTCATGTGGGGAATTAACTGGGACTGGAGGAGGGAGGTAAGGAATTGATACCTGTTCACTTTGCAACTAACAAAGGAAAATAGGTTCTTTAAAAACATTTACTTTTTTCATGTGGGCCCAAGATAAAACACGTAAGAGTTTAGTGTTTACCTTGAGGGTATTCTTACATAGAGGTATATTCAACCATTCCTCTGTCTTGACTTAGGAAGTCTTGACTAAACAGAGGTTTTCAAAGATGTGACCAGGCTACTGCCCAGGGCAAGCAGCAGGGTGGGTGAAGCTGAGAGGTGCTGATAAAGGGACACCTCCCAGTTTACTGCCCACGCTTATCCGCCTAGTGAAACAAGCTAGAACAAAGAGAAAATCACTCTCAAAAGGAAACTTGCCGTTTTGAAGCACAGCTACTAAAGCATTAAGAATGCAGCTTCATTCTTAGATGTTGAGAAACACTGAGACCAATTGCACAGGCTCTAAGGAGAATGGGTAGGATCACCTCCCCTGCCAAAAGAAAGGGCTACTACTCACACTTTTAAACCTAGTTCAAATTCAAATTCCCCTTTCTGCTTTGCCACCAGAGCCTCAAGAGATCACTTCAGATGCTTTAATTCCTACAACTAATTTTATCCATATATTTCACTAGCCAATTAATCATACACAGACTTGCAAAATCACTTCTACTTGGCTTGAATTTATATTATTATGTAGACTTTTTGCAAGTCTACATAATAGACTTTTTGCAGTCTTGCTGTCTTTATTTCTTATCTTGATTAAGTGTACAGAGCAAAGAATATGTTGGAGAGGTCCCCGGGCTCCCTAGTTTCCCCCTCACCCCAGCAGAAGGCCTTGTACAGCATAGAAGACCAATGAATGAATGACTGATTTCCATGCAAAGGCAAGTCAGATCTTTGAAAATGCAGCTTTGCAGAATTAGACCTCTGAGAAGGAAAGCTTTCAATGTGTTATTCATGCATGCTTGGCTAGTCTACTGTTTCTCCCTCAAATAATTAAATGAGCTTTACTGGGGTGTCTCCAAAATCCTGATACCAAACGTGCCATACGGAACACAGTGTTACAGGAACCCGCTTCACTAAATGTATTTCCCTTCCACTCATTTTACCACCTCCTACCCTCTTGTATTTACAGGCTAAAGCAACACTATCATCTCTGCTTGCACCATAGCCTGGGAGATGTTAAGCACACCCACATTTTTCAGGAATTTCACAATTAATGTCTGGAATGTGTTTTGGATTATTCTTCAAAGGATGATATACTTGTGCTAAGATGAATTCAATATTTTCCCTTCTCCCATTCGTCATTCTTTAGTCCACCCCCTCATTACCTCCTTAGGGTCATCTGTTTCATCTACAATATATCCCCCAACTTCATAATGCCCATCCCCTGCCTCACCCAGCTGTTCACTCATTCATCCCGGTCATTGCATCTTCAACAAACCACACAAAACAAAGAAACCTGTACCAAGTCACCAAATACCTCCTACAAATGGATGTAATGCCTACACAGATTAAGGACTGTTCAGTTTTCTTCATATATTAATCTGACTGCTTACAACCCTACTGCCAACCTCTTGCTTGGAGATTTTCCTGGTCAGTGTACAATATGTGTGAATGGCAACAAATATCTCCAGACTTGCTATTTTTGCCATTCTGATAATACACAATCCATCTGCCCTTTGCCAAGTGTTTTATGTGACAGGACTCCTCAATAACAGGGAAGATTCTATAAGCCTGGCAATCAAAGTGAAGGTCACTGAGTCCTGTCATTTATTTAAGTGCAGTGAATAGTTGGTCTCTCCATGTTTTGCCAATATTTACTTTTGGGAGGAACTAATTATTTCCTTGTTTACTTCGTTGGTTTCTCTTCCCATTCCCTGTTAACATAATGTTATAGGCCCTCTGCTTGTTCCTCTCTGGGATCTAAGGGCTCCCTGTCTACCTAAGGACTTCTGAGAGGAAAAATGAAACCCATTATTCCAAAACAAAGCCAAGAGCTTAATTTTTCTAACTATAGAAGCTGATATTTTGCCCCCCTCCCGTTACTTAATGAGTGAATTAAAATTCGTGGACTCTTAACTTCAGGCCCTACTACAGAGTGGTGAGAGTAGTTTCCATGCGGCTTGTGCAGAATGAAATGTTTGGGTTCATTATCTGGCCTCCTGCAGCCTGCTTTCTGGAGCAGATCCCGCATACATTTTCTTCCAAGCAGCCATCATCTTCACTGACTGTCTTCCAGGGATAAGCAAAGAAACTTTGCATGGCAAGTTTCAGGAAACAAAATTCTGTTTTTTGCTGTAAGTACCCCACTATGTATACATAGTTCTCTTACACACTGCCCAATGAAAAATGGGTAAAAGGAACAGTTAAAATTCCTGGGGGAAATAAAAGGAGGATTGCGTTCTGAAAGAGGTCGTTTTTAGATAGCAATGGTGAAAAAGATGGAATGCTAAGTTCCAAAATATGAAGCTACTGAGTAAATAGTCACCAAGAAAAAAATTGGTGCTTATCTGATCTAGCTATCACCTGAATCTAATACAACAGAGTCCTCGGAACAGTGACTCAAGTAGTCTCCACCTGGTTCCTCATCACTCTGTCTGTACAAACTGCCAAAGCAAGTCACCATCTGCCCTTTAACTGCCCAGAGAGGCTGGTCATGCTCTCTCACCTTGCCTCACTCCTTATAGAAGCATAAAGCGCTATGACACATGGGAGAAGAAATGGCTCTCAACCCCTTAGCTCAAAACATAATTCTCACTGTCCAATCAAAATCTTCTTTCTAGAAAATCTCACTTCATTAATTTTTCTAAACTCTGCCTTCGATCCTCCAAAGATGTCTTCCATCCAGATTTCTTTCTCAGGGGTTCAGGATCCACACTTGTTTCTCTGGCTTCTAGGTGATTTTCCTGGAGGCAGGCAGCCTGGCCAAGAAAACAGGCCAGTTAGGATGCTGCAAAGAGCAACAGGAGGTCTTAGCAGACGAATGGAAAGAGGAAAAAGACCTGCACTCTCCTAAGTTCCAAAAAGCACTTTCTAGACTGACAGAAAGTAGGAAAAACTTTTAGGTATCAGGCTCCATGCTCATTTTTTCAAATGCACTTACCACCCCCAGCCCCCACCACAAAAGGAATAATTCAATTAGAATTTATTTAATAACAATCTAAACAATGCGGAAAAGAAATCCAAGTGCACATCTCACATGGTGCACAGGACACAACTCATCACATTATTTAATCATTCAGAAAATATTTTTTTTCCTTCAGCATTCTTTCTATGGATAGGATTGTTCTTCCGTTTGTTCAATGTACTTTTACTGAGAGCCAACTAGACCAGCATGCCTTAAAAACCTAAGGCTGTGAGCCACAAGCTGAAAGGGGCCCATTTCTGCCCATGATTTATCTAACTCATTTTGTGAACTGCAGTTAAAAACGTAATTTTTTTCCCCTACAAAGCCAGTATGAGAGTAAACACTGCTAAAAATTACTGCAAGTTGGCAAACAGAGAATATAATTTGTATTTAAATTATGTCATCGAAAGCAGGGAGATTAGTCATGATAATATTTCTATAACATGCAATATGTTTTTACAACGTAGCCAATTAAATAAGTTTTCAAGAGTTTTCATTAACAGATACAACCAGTAGGGGTCATTTTAGTGCAAAAATTGCAGCAAAAGAGACTTCAACATGAATAAAATATATTGATTCCTATTCATGTTAGTTATGATAACCATGCTTCACCACGTGAATTTCTGAATAAAAATGGAAACTGAGGGAAACACTGGCCATTCCGAAATTTCTTGTAAACTCACAGAAAAACAAGAGATAATCAATACCTTCTAGGTAACTGCTGACATCTGAAGGCTCCTCTAATTCTTTTTTTAAAAATGGCAGGCGGGGGGCGGTTGGGGTATCACTTATCCCATGCTTTCCATAAATCTTGTCGTTAAGTGAAAACACTGAAATTGTAAACACACGATTGAAAATATCTGTCTAAATCCAACCATTATATCATGCCAGGTAACACTGTCCTTACTTTGGTTTCACAGATTTAGAATGCAAGTTGACTGCTGTTTTCAGTATTTTTTTTTTTAAAGGAAGTGCCCTGGACACACAATATTGATAGTTGAAAACAGGCCTGTAAAATAAAAAGTGTTTCTAGAGAAACTAATTGAGATATAATCATGTCAACAAACCCTTCCAAGCATTTCAAAGCGAATACCAAGCACACAGGGTGTTGCCAGAAAAAAGGAAGCTATGAGGGATCACATCATTTCAGAGGAATGAAAGGCTCACGAAACTGCCAAAATAACTCTATACTGTGACATGGGATATTGCTGCCACAACACTCGATTACTGTAAATGTTCCCTGAGCACTTCCTTCACCAGAAACAGACTAAGAAGAAACAAAACAAGGGTTAGAATCTTCAGAACCTGCAAAAGTCCTTCTTGGAACACAGCAGTTTCCACTGCATTTAACTGTGTTTCATGTCGCCTGTTCTTTTCAGATTTACGAGAGGCCGGATTAAGTTATACACTTGAAGCGGCAGGGTTCAAAGATGCATCTTTTAGTCTAGGTCATTCAGAATTCCCAAAGTCAAAACACATACAATGGTATCAGAAGTTAATCTCATGGCCATTTTTCTTGAGGTAAGGCATAAAAACAAGTTATAAAAGGGGACAATACCAGGTGAGAGGCTTTTTTGTACTTCAGGCAAATGATCTCTTCTAACCCAATGTCTTACGTGTGCAGCAAAGCAAGAGCAAGTCCCTCCCCTCTGAGAAGAGTTCCCTTCACTCATCACTGCCCACTAGCTTCCAAACCAGAAAACCCTCCCCTATTTTCCTGAACTGTCCAAACCCCAAACTATTCAGGTATAAATAAGTACCTATGTGTGTGTCTGTGCGTATTTAGAGAGAATCACAGCACTGAAGCCTTTTAATAGGTCCATTGTTATCCTTAAGGCTGTCACCTCCTTTTTCAGTATCCCAGCATACTAAACAAACACACACAAAGATGCTTCGGAATAAACCGTTCCCTGGACGGTGCTGGCTGTGAGTAGTGAGGAAGGCACGCCGGGCAGAGGGCGCCTGTCCCTCCTCGCCGCCTCCCCAGAAACGAGGCTGCTGCGTGCGCTCTGCTCACTCGCCAGGATGCCCCCGGAACAGCATCATCAGCCCAACGTCAGCCAGAGCAGGGATCCCACTTTTAACTGATGCTTACCGAACCGTGCCCCCGTTAGCCACATCAAAATAACTCACTGCCTCGCTCTAGACCCCAAACCAGACCAGGCACCCTGAAGGCCGACGCAAGCGGGCAGGGATTAAAGCCAACACGCACTAACATTGGCTCCCCAACGAGAAAGACTCCACTAATCTAATCTGTTTCTCCCACCGTCAATCTCGACACCGCGGAGCACAATGCGTGCTGGAGAAGCCAGCAGAACAATCCCCGCTGTCAAACAAACAAAAAGGAG
This sequence comes from Homo sapiens, assembly GCF_000001405.40. Classification (NCBI taxonomy): domain Eukaryota; kingdom Metazoa; phylum Chordata; class Mammalia; order Primates; family Hominidae; genus Homo; species Homo sapiens. Next base: position 5,931 of record NW_003315908.1, read on the forward strand.
GAACCGGCAACACGACAGGAAACACGCGGGTATCTGATATTAAAAAGCAGCCACTAATAGCAACAACTTTTTACTCCCAGGTGCAACCCCCACCCCCCTTTCCTTTCAGGAGAGAAAGCCTTTGACCGTTTACAATGGGCAAATAAATGAGTAACCACCGTGTGTAACTTCCCCTGGGCTGACATATTCCGCGGCTGAAACTGATTTATCTGCGGAGGAGGAGGAAGGGGTGAAGGAAGAGCTCAAGGAAAAAATAATAAGAGTCACTCGGGGAGTGCGAGCTGGAGACACGTCTCCTCCGCCAACAGAAAAAGGACTTTCGCGGCCGGCGTGCGGCTCACGGTGCCACACTGCGCCAGTGCGGGGAGGGCGGTAGGGCCGGGCTCCCCGAGGGGCTCGCGCGCGGCAGAATCTGCAGTGCCCCCCGCCCGCGGCGCCCCCACCTCGGGGAGCAAGGCCGGGCCACCCAGTCCCAGCAGGAACGGCCACACGTGTGCGCGTCTGCGCGGGGACAGGGGCGATCCTCCACTCGCTCGCCCCCACCCACCATACCCAACCTCGCCCGCGACTGCCTAAGCGTCGGGGGGAACAAGGAGAGGGAACGCAGGGCCGCGGGGGCACTCTCCTGGGGGCGGCGGCCGCCCCTCTTCCCGCAGAGCCCTCTTTCCTCCAGAAAGTCTCGCCCAAACTTTGTTCGGCACAACCAGCGCCGAGGGGGCGGCGCAGGCCAGGTGGGAGGGGGCCCGCAGCGGGCGGCCGTACCTTCGCAAACGCCCGCTTCGTACTCGGTGAGGGAGTCGCCATTGAGCGGGGGGCGGATGACACAACGCAGCCCCCGGTCGCAGGTTCCGTAAATCCCGAAGGTGCCGCCGCAGCTCTCGTTCCTCTGGCTGGCGCACGTGTAGCAGCAGCCGCAGACGCCCTGCACGATGCTCCCCGGGCAGTTCCTGGGCTCCTCGCACTTGGACTCGTCACAGGGCAGGCAGACCAGCGCCCGGGTGCCGGAGCGCGCCAGCAGCAGCAGCAGCCCCAGCAGCGAGACCAGGAGGTGCCCGCAGCCGGCCAACCCCCTGTCCCCCGCCACCAAGTACATCCTCCTGCGCCGCCGCCGCCTCCTCCTCGCAGCCGGGCCGGGAGCGGGGCGGGCGCCCTCCCCTGCGCGGGGCACACGCGCCGCCGCCGCCGCACCAGCAGCCCGCGGTCCTCACCGCCCCTCTCGGGGCCCCCGGGGCGCGCCTCCCCTCGCGGGGCGAGGCCCCCGCCCCTTCTGCGGGCCGCGCCGACCCCGAGCCCACGAGCCTTGGCGCCGGCGGCAGCTTCCCCTCCTCCTCCTCCTCCTCCTCCCGGGAGGGAGGGGGAAAAAAGAAAAAAGTTTCCTCCCGGCAGCTCCGGTTCAACCCAAACTTCTGGCGCGGCGGCGGCGGTGGCTGCTGCGCTCGGCTCCAGCCCGGGCCGGCGGCGCCTCCTCCCTCTCCTCCTCCGAGTCGGCCGGCCCCGCAGCGGCGCAGCCTCCGGGCCGGTCCCCGCCTCCCGAGCTGCCGAGTGGGCGCGGTGGCGCAGCACAAGATCCGCGGCGTCCGCTCCGCGCGCCCCGCTCGCCTCACTCCTGCGCCGCTCCTCCGGGCGCTTGTTTATGGCTGGAGCCTCAGCCGCTCGGGCTGCGCCCTCCCCCATCCTACCTCCTCCCCCAGACCTTCCCCCCACCCCCACGCGCCGCGCGCCGCTCATTGGCTGCCCCCCCTCCCCGGCCCGGCCGGCCCCCTCCGCCTCCCCCTCCCCCTCTCGGGCGGCCGGGCCCTTCCTCCCTCCCTCACACGCCTCCACCTCTTCCCGATCTCCTCCTCCCCGAGCCCGGCGCACCGAGCCGGCCGTGCCACCGAGCTGCGGCTCTGGCCCCGGCGCCGCGGGTGCGCTGCGGATGGGCTTGGGGCGCACCCAGCGAGCAGCGAGAGTCGCGGTGTCCCGGGCGCTCGCTGGCACCGTGGCCGCAGCGGCCGGCCTGGGAGCCAGGAGGGCGAGGCGGCTGCACCTTCGGGGCCAGATTGGAGTTCGAAGAGTGGCGGGTACCCCAGAAGCTCGGGGCCGGGGCGATGGCTGCAGCCTCGGGAGGGTATCGCCGGATCGAACTCCGGGAAAGGGAAGCAAAGGCATGGAACCTCCGCACACTGGATGAGAATCCATCTTCCATTCGAGCTGGGAATAGACTTTGTGAAAGATATTATGTAATGGAGTCTCGGGAACCCTGAGACCTCTCCAGCGAAGCTGAAGTGAATTAATTAAGTGCTTTAAACGGTCTTGGTAAATATTCCGCGGGAGCTGGGGAGGACCGTTGGGATGGCTGTAGCTTGAGTTGAATTTTAACTGTCCTCATTCTGGGTTTTGTCGCTCTGCTTTCTGTGCCAAGGTGCTGTGTTACGGGAGAGAGTGACTGGAAAGTAACAAAGCTGAATCTTTCTCCCTGGAGTAAGGCCGAAGACTGGATTACTACACGCCTAGACGTGACACTACACCCATAGATCTCATGCATCATTAATGCCATATGACATTGCCATTTTCTTTCTCAGTTCACGGACAAAAGTGGTGGGTTTTCATTGTCTTCACTGATTGTCAATGCATTAATAAAGAAGATGTGTGGTACATAGTCTTTGTGATAAATCAGGTAAAGAAGCAACGGAAGTGATGCAAAATGCACGGTGTGGAGATGGTTTCTCTTCAGTGGTTGTCAGAAAAGGTTTTCGTAATGATGGCTCTGTCATTGATGGGATATGAAGTAGTAATCCGCTCCGTAGTGACCTACCATTCACAAGATGGGTACCAGGTGAATAACATTAATTAATTGACAAAAAGTGACTGTGGTCAATGGGGGAAAAAATCGATCCCGTGGCAGGTGTGACGTGGGAATGGCTGGCCCACCCTCTGATCCAAGATGGTCTGGCTGCAGGAAGGTGGCAGCCAAGTGGATTCTGAAAATCGTGACTAATGAACCGAAAGTTAATAGCTGGCAGTGCAAGGAAAGAGGAAACAAAGCTACCTTTGAAATGTTATGTTTGTGGAACAAATTCATACTTACGATAAATATTTTAGTTTAACCACTCTGTCTAATCCTGAACCCAAAAGCCAGAGTTACCAGTGGACTATTCCCCCATGATGGGCATCAGCAAACTAAACATTTCTCCTATCATATTTCTTTGTCCAAGGAGAGGAAGAGGCTCATTAATTATCATTGATTATTATAGGGCCATGAGGAAGATGTTCAACCGTGGAAAAGGGGAGAGAGCATTGCATTTTCTAGACGGGTTTAAAGAGTTGTTGCAATGAAATGATTCCTGTAGTTGGGTGGGAAGTCCGATTAGATGATCTCCAAAGGCCCTCATACCCTGTGGGTCCATAATAAGTGTTAAGTGGCAAAATCGTTTAAAATATGCTAGGTTTTCTATTAGAAAAACCGAAGAGACTGGGCGTGGTGGCTCATGCCTATAATCCCAGCACTTTGGGAGGCCAAGGTGGGCAGATCACTTGAGGTAAGGAATTCGAGACCAGCCTGGCCAACATGGTGAAACATGGTGAAACCCTGTCTCTATCAAAAATACAAAAATTAGCCGGGTGTGGTAGCGCATGCCTGTAATCCCAGCTACTCAGGAGGCTGAGGCAGGAGAATCACTTGAACCCAGGAGGTGAAGGTTGCAGTGAGCCGAGATTGCGTCATTGCACTCCAGCCTGGGCGACAGAGCAAGACTCTGTCTCAAAAACAAACAAACAAAAAAACTGAAGAAAAATAAAACACACATTGTTAAACATTGTTCTTTCTTGTCACCGAACAAGGCACCAGCACTTCAGTGTGGGATTTGCCAACAAACTGTCATCATTGCTCTGTGTTAAAAGGTCCCTCCCACTCTTGCAGAGGAGGTTATCTGTATTTCTGTTCAAATGCAAGTATAAAGACATTAAAATGTAGCAGATAACATTGTAGGACCTGCAGGAAAAGCCAAGGTCAGGTGATGAGAAAAAGGCAGAAGTGAGAAAGCTACTGTGGTTAGGAAAGAAGGAGGTAATAAGCATTGTCAAAGTTTAGCTTCTATTTATTTTTAAGGGGATATATTAAGGATTAAGGAAAGCTACAGATGAGCACAGGCAAAGGATAATTTGGAGATGACTATTCATTGTTCCTGGGACTTCAGAAGTAGAACCACCTGGAAGGTAGATGGACAGATACAACATGAGAAAGGTTGACTTCTCACAGGAATTCAAGTCAGGTTTAGAAAGGACTAGGGAGATTCTTTAAGATGAAGATGATTGTATCAGCTCAAAAAGAAAAAAAAAATCAAGTTACATTACACATGCCCTTTGGCATAAAATTAATAGTCATAGAAGCAATAGAGAAAATAGGATTCCTTGAAGCCAGTGACTAGTGGCGAATGAGAAACCTGCAAGGTCCTGGCAGCTTTTCTGAAACCAGTGTGTGAATCAGGAGCTCAGTTATGAAACAGCTCTTTCTTCTCTGGGATCCAGGAGGGATGATAATGAGGTAGTGAGAAGCTGAGGCAATGATACTGAGGCTCGAATACAAAAGTATTTTCTTATCTTCAAAGACCAGACTATGGTTACAGAAAGAGTTTGGGTGAGCCCAACATGATGACAATCAGGTGTCACGGGTGAAAGTGGACTAGGAAGAATTACCCTGAAATTGAATGGACCCTGAAAGTCATGAACGAATGTTAAGAATTAGAGCCACACATGAAAGGCCTCCCTTTCTGAGAAGCCTTCTTGAGCTTCTTTATCTGTTCTACAGCATTTGTAAGTACCTCTGCTTGTAGCATTTATCATGTTACATTATAGTTATTTAAATAACTCTGAACCCAATTAGCTTGTCAGCTTATTGGAGAGGGCAGGATTTATAAAAATGCATGCATGAATGAGTTGAAAAAGGGAGAGTGAAGAATTACAGTCAAAATGATATTTGAATATTATTGTCTGCAGCCCTTCTCTCTTGGTTTTAGTAAATACCTCAAAATCAGTACTTGAAAGGGATGGTATGGGCAGGAGGGAGTCATCGAAGTTTGGGGTGGGGGTGGTGGGGGGGTGGGGGAGGGGTTGGGGAACAGGTCTGCAACGAACCAGGAATTACGAAGTATTTCTGATGGAGGTCTAGAAGAAGAGATCGTCTGCCCTCTATTGGCCATCCTGGGGATTAATAAATTGTTGAAAATGTCGAAAATCAAAGTGCCCATTTGTTGGCCTAAGCAGAAAGTGGAAATGAGAGGGCAATAGACAGAATGTTAGTATTAGACCCCGCCTTTCCGATACAGTGTCTAGTCCACCTATAGTCACACTCTGTATTTTCTCTTCCTGAAATGAAAAGAAAAATGTAGAAGTTGCCTTTGAGTTTGGCTCACATACTCTTGGAATTGAGTTGCACTTTGTATTTTCTCTTCCTGAAATGAAAAGAAGAATGTAGAAGTTGCCTTTGAGTTTGACTCACATACTCTTGGAATTGAGTTGCACAAGAGAAGAAACCTCATTGTGTTATGAAAACGTTGCATACATATTAGAAAGTGGTACGAATAAACCAGGGTAGCAGGTCTGGCCCGTTTTACCCTCTTAGGCCATCTCTCTGGTCTCCTCAGCTGGGATCACCTATATATGGGTTCTCACTTAATCTAGGCTTGGCACTGCAGTGATATAGACAGACCCTAGTTTGGAGGCTCAACCATCTGGATGTTGGACTCTTAATCTGAAATTGAACTCTATTATCACCACGTAATACCTTATTTTTGCTAAGTGGGTTCTTATTTACTCTGCCTGTGAATGATAGCTGCTGCAGAACTACCACAAGGTTTACAAGACATCTGCACAGAACACAGGTTCTCTTTGATGTTTGGCCTAGGATCCTGACACACACACACACACACACACACTCTCTCTCTCTCTCTCTCTCTCTCTCTCTGTGTACAAGTTTAAACAAGGTATTTATCCTTTCTGAATCTGTCTTCTCTGTAAAACAGAGACAAGAATACCAACCATACAGGGTATCGTGTGGATAAAATGATTGCTCTCCTTTTCTATTGTTATTTTTAGAGTCCTTCTAATTGAGTGTCTCCTCAAGTTTTATGCTTGAGCTGGAATCCCTGCTCTCTGTTATCTTAGCATCCATTGCTGTGCAACATCTGCTGGATCAGATATTTGCTTTTTTTTTTTTCTTTCTTAGGATCTTCTGTTGGCCTTGTTTTGACAGTCTGTCTCATCTTGGGGTTTTAGCCTCTGTGATATTTTCTCAGACTCATTTTGGTCTCTGACTTATTTTAAAGAGCAGTAATTGGTAATGATAATAGTAATAGCTGACACTAATAAAGATCTTATTAATTGCTAGTCAACATGCTAAGTGCTTCATATAGGTTATTTTAAGTAATCTACGGAAGAGCGCTGTAAGACCAATGGTTTCTATTATCTCTAGTGCCTTACGTTGTCTTCATTTTTTACAGGTGAGGAATCTGAGTTATAGGAGGTTGTGTGGCTTGTCAAGGTCTCAGAGCTATGTGTATGGATATTAAGCTTAGAACTCAGTCCTATTCTGCCTTAAGGGCCTGTGTGTTTAACTACCTCAATTCAGTAAGTTGGGTAATGGTGAGCTGCTTTTCTTTTCAGTTTTGTTGTTTTTTGTGGACCTCATTTAAAATTGCTAACATCTATGACAATATCTTGTCTTCTTTGAGAAGTTTAAATACTGATCAGCGTTTTCTCAAAATGGAAATAAGATCATTGCTTTCCTAACTACTGAATAACAAATATTTATGTAACGTTTGCCATGTGCATATTTTTTAATTACCTTACAATATTACCACATTTAATCCTCCATAAAAGCTGATGAGGTAGGTACTGCATTTTACAGGTACATTTACACCTATTTAAAAGGAAAAATTGGGGTGGGTGCGGTGGCTCATGCCTGCAATCTCAGCACTTTGGGAGGCCAAACTGGGTGGATCGCTGGAGCCCAGGAGTTTGAGACCAGCTTAGGCAACATAAGGAGAACCCATATCTACAAAATAATAATAATAATGAACTAGCCAGGCATGGTGGGATGTGCCTGTATTCAGGAGGCTAAGGTGGCAGGATTGCATGAGCTTGTGAAGTTGAGGCTGAGGTGAGCCGAAATTACACCACTGCCTTCCAGGCTGGGTGACAGAGTGACACACTGTCTCTTACTTTTCCAGTAAAGGAAAAATTGGAATTCAAACCTAGGCAGTATGGGGACAGAATCCACTCTATGCAATATTACTTCTAATGTATGTTTTTTAACAAATACATGCTCACTGGGGGAAAAAAGAGAAAAGACAGACAAGTAAAAAAGAAAAAAAGAAGAAAGAAAAACATCACCTATAATGGTTTTATCTCAGGTGAGATAAAACCACTGATAACATTTGTGACACATCCTTGAAGGTTTATTTTCCCCATACAGTATAAAATATAAAATGGGATATGTATCTACCTCAAAATTGGCTTTAACTTTCACATATACATGGCATATTGATCTTTAGAATCAATAACTGCATCCTTTTTACCATTGATTGTTATTCCACTGAATGTACATATTGCATTATATTTAACTGATTCCATATTAACATAAGTTTAGGGGTTTTGTGTGCTTTACATTTTCACTATTATAAACAAAGCTGCAATATATTTCCTTTAAGCCAAATCTTCAAACACTTGTCCAATTATTTTCCTTGGCAAATACCTAAAGTGAAATTATTGTTTGTGGGTCAAAAGTTATGCCCACTTTGACATGCATGGCCAGATTGCCTTCCAGAAACTTATTCACGCAAATTTCCTCAAACACTTAATACAAGTTCCCATCTCTCCAGTGTAGAGGCCCTTCAGGTTAAAAACCATTTCTTCTTGCTTTAAAAGCACCTTACATTGTAAAGCTTTAAAATTTTTTTTAACATAAAAAATTCCTTTCACATTTATTATTTCATTCCATCCTTTAAAATGTTCAACATTAGGAGAGTTTAGCTGTGGATCACCAAATGTTTTAACCTTACAAATTGCCAAATCATGTAACCTGGCAAATTATTTGCTGTGTGGTTTTTAAAGAAAGTGTTATGTACTCAATTAAAAATTTCTCCCAGGAAGGAGTGTTTTTTATAAAACTGAACTAATAAAAGGGAATAAATTATCGAGACCCTCCACAGGTTAAGGAAATTTATCCTGCGCTTACAGACATTTTTTGGAAAGCTGGAAAAAACAAGTATAAGAAAATGAGAAGAGAGGACCCGGTCATGCATTATAGTGAAGAGGAGGAATTTCCATCTGTTGCAATGCTACCCACCTCTCTGTCTTCTCTTTCTACCCCACTGCCTATTCTACTATGTGCTTTCAATAACCTGAAGAGTCATACATCCAAATTGTAGAAATTCTTCCCCAAATCTGTGTGGCATCTGTGTTAAGAAATACAGGTCAATTTATTTCAACAATGACATCATTGACATACACATTTGTGTAATGTTTGTTTTGGAATTGCCTTGTGTAGTCCCTTGAGAAATAAGACACATTGTTTGTCCTATCTGACCCAACGTATAATAAGTGAAGCAGATTATCTTCATTCACCAAACTGGCTCTAATTTACTTCTTATAATCTTTATCAAATTCACCCTCAAAGGAAGATTTACCATTGTTGAGAGTATTATACAGAACCAAAACATGTTCTAGAGAAAATAGCAAAAGAAGAGTTTTTAAATAAAAGTAGGCATTAATGGTATCCATGGAAAAAGCAGACAGCTTTTCCAGGTAACTGCTGGCAAATGGACATCACTCATTTGAATGTAAATCCTGGTATTATGATGTTCTTTAGAATACTGATATTTTGTGCTCACGTCCTATGTATCATGCAACTGCTGTGTCATTCAAATGAAAATTCATTACCTATTTTCAGGTGGGAAATGGTGGTGCTCACCAGTATCTCTGTTCCTTCTCTTCATTTCTGACACACAGCTAGAAGACACTTACCAGCTTTCTTGCAGTGAGCTGGAGCCATGAAATGTGGATGGAAGTGATGAGGATCTTTTCCAGGGCTGGCCTCAGGACCCTCTCCACAATCCGGCATATTATCTTATTCCCATTCTGCTGGGGGATGGCAGGGCTCTGCATAGAGGACTCTGAAGCACTAGAAGAGTCTAGAACCACTAGGTGGATGGATCCTGGGTCCTTGAGTGACTGCATGAAGCAGACCTCTCACATACATACACATACCTCATTCAATTTCAGTGGTCTCTGATTTGAGTGACAAATGAATATTTACTGTGATAAGTCACTGAGATTTGGGGCTTGTTATAGCAATTAGCCTCCCCTCACACAATTTTGACTTAAATAGAAATAACATTGGCCGGGCATGGTAGTTCACGCCTATAATCCCAACACTTTGGGAGGTCGAGGTGGGCGGATCACTTGAGGTCAGGAGTTTGAGACCAGTCCTGGCCAATATGGTGAAACCCCATCTCTACTAAAAGTACAAAAATTAGCCGGACATGGTGGTGCACACCTGTAATTCCAGCTACTCCGGAGGCTGAGGTGGGAGAATCTCTTGAACCTGGGAAGTGGAGGTTGTAGTGAGCAGTAGAGATCGTGCCATTGTACTCCAGCCTGGGTGACAGAGCGAGACTCTGTCACAAAAAAATAAAAAAAGAAGTAACATTAAACATTTATTCATGTTCTCAGAAAAGAAATGCAATTTGACACGTACTTACAACTCACCTGCATTTGTTTGTTGACTATGTAATGAACGTGTAAAGATTAGGTTACCAATCCTGGCATTTAAATTATTTTCAGTATCATAATATTCCAAGTAGGCCTTAGCATTTTATTAGTACTGATTAATAGAAATTAAATAATATAAAAACCTTTCACCTTACTCAGTTGGGAGAATGGCCATTTCTATTATGCTACCCAGTGGGTTTTAATTCCTGAACTTTCACACTCTCAGACCATCTCTGCTCATGACTTTATTGTAGTAACCAAGATCCTATAAGCTCAAAAGAGAATGAGACTCTTCAAACCCACATTTTCTCCCTTTCACAAGTCCTTCATATCCACAGGGTTATTATGAACTATAAAATCAGTACCACTTCCTATTATCATTTAAACTTAAAGAATATTTTGATATTTTGATATCAGGTTCTAAGGTTATCATATCCATATTCCTTATCATTATTGTTGGTAGCTTAATGTGTCTTGATCATCTTATTGGTTATATTTGTTATACTTCACCAACTTTTTCAACCTCAAACTAAAGTTCATAAAACAAATCAAGTTCATTGCCTAAAAGCTAGTTGCCAATGAACTATGACTGGGTAAATGACTACTGGTTTGAGATTAGCCAGAAAAAATGGAACATTGAGCTCATAAGGCATGAAACCATGCAGAAAAAAACTATAAGAAATAGATTCCAAGAGTGTTTCCAACATCAGCTGATTATTGCCAAAGACCATGTCATGTTTCCCATTTAGATTTTGCCAGGAAGAAAAGCTAACCAGCAATGCCAATCACAAGTGTTTGAAGAACAGGATTTTTCTATTTTTCCTTGACAAGCAATTGATTAAATTAGGAATGTCCTCAATGATGATGAGGCATCGTGCTGCGAAGTGCTCTAATAGAAAGAAAAAACTCTTGGAAATCAAGTTGACCCAGGATCAAATTCTGACAGTGTTTGTCACTGTCTCTGTGAGTTTGAATATCTTATTTGTTTGAATTTCCTTTCTCTCACCAGTCACTTAGGAAATACGTACCTAAAGGATTCTGAGCATATAATAGATGCTCAATAATTCTCCTAGCATTTCTTATGATTGACTTTTTAAAAATTGTAATAGGGTTAGCTATTCACTGAATGTTTGCTACTTTCAAAAAGTTTGTGAGATGGGCTCTAGTCTGGTTCTAAAATATAGGGGTATTTCTAGTCTGTGTGAGAATCAAAGCCAAGGACTTCACTTCGTAATCACTATGCTCCCTTGGCAGTCTGCAGTTATCCTGTCGTGTTACTTACCTGTCTCCCCACTTAGGGTGCATGATTTCTTATTGGGCAGGACAGGAACTCTGAAGCCAGGAAACTGAATCCTACTTTCCTAATCACTAGACTGATTGCAAAAATAAATGTCACTTTCCTTGCACTCAAAGGACCTACTATCTAGTGTGGGCAATTGGTAAATCAACATTTTCAACATAGTGCAGTAGAAGTTTACCAAATCAGGTCTACATGAGGAAACTGGGGAGTTTCACAAAATTCCCTTTTACAAAAGAAAAGATAGTTGGATTGGATCTTGAAGGAAAAATAGATATTTACCAGGTGTATAGGGTAGGGGAGGAAGAGGAAGAGATTCCAAGCCAAAAAACAAAACCAAAAACAAACAAACAAAACAAAAACAGTGAAGTGCCTAAAATAGAGTTTGGAACATAGTATGAATTCAATAAATGTTGAAATAAGAAAGAGAACATAGACTTTTGCAATGGAAGGAAAAATTAACTTTGAGGCAACTGGTTGCTCAGTGGTAAATGTTAGGAGAGAGGATGGTAATATTGGGTTGGATGATGAAGACCCAAAATCTGCAGCAGAGTTTAGACTTCATCCTATAGGGTTTCAGAGACAAGTGGAACTTTTAGAGACAAGTGACATCATCAGATTCCCATTTGTAAAGATACCATACTGCACTGATTTTAAGACATACTTTTAAAATATTTTAACAGTTCTATAAGTAAGATGCATCCTACCTACATTTAATGGCATATTATAGTTTGACAGTGTTAGTTTTCTTTCTCGGTAGCGTATAAAGTAACATTTTTGCTTACAAATGGTGGCATTTTTAATAGAAAATTGAAATTATGGCAGTAGAGTAACAGAAGAACAACGAGTGGAAACAAGGAAACCATTGAGAGACTTATCAAATAGCATAGCTGTGGGATAATGAGCAGTGGTGTAAAACCAAGTATGCATTGATAGATTTAAAAATTCCAAAATAGATTAGGAGCTTCTGAGTTTAATGGATTAAATCTACCTTTCGTTTTCCATTTTGTTATTTACTTTGCTTTGCTGAACAGCTAGAACCTGAAAAAAGCTCCTAGCTTTTCACTAAAACCATGTTTCTCAGGTGAATAACCTAAGTATAAAATATAGTATTATTTAATATCTATTAGGTATCGAAATTTTGGATGAAAGTACAAGCCCTTTGTACTAAGAAGGACTACTTTTAGTACTGTATCCAAGGGTGCCTGCTCTTTTCTCTGAGATTTCTTCTAAGAAATACAAAAAGTTTAAAAGCATTGGAAAAGCCTTCAGATATACCCAGATCCAACTCTTTCATTTTGCAGATGAGGAAAATGAAATCTTGGGGTGCTGGTGACTTTAAATATGCTGACTCTTAGCAGCAGATGTAGTTTGGAATAGTTTGAAACCCTCCTCCACCATCCTGTGTATCAGCGGGTTACCTGTTTATCTATCTCTGGATTAGCTCAGACTCCAGTTCTAGTCTTGAGCAGACAGTACAAAAGTATCCTCTACCTCCAATTGCCACTATTTAAAGTTAATAAATTTGTTACCAGTTCTCGTCTCTTTTTACTATCTCATTATTACTTTTGCCTGGACACCGGGTTGTGTGCATTCTAACATCTGCTGATTAGATGATGGTGTCTGGGATAGGGCTCTGTGGCCTGGGCATTTGGTGCCTACCTTACCTTTTCCTTCTCCCCTCCCCTCCCTTCTCCCCTCCCTCCCCTCCGCTCCCCTCTCCTTTCCTTTCCTTTTATCCTTCCTTTCATTCTTCCTTCCTTTCCTCTCTTCCGTATTCTTTCTTCCTTCCTTCCTTCCTTCCTCCCTCCCTCCCTCCCTCTCTCATTCCCTCCTTCCCTTCCCTTCCTTCCTTTTCTTTCCTCTCTTTCTCTCAACAGGGCTCAGGTGATCCTCCCACCTTAGCCCCCTGAGTAGCTGGTACTACAAGCATGTGCCGCCATGCCTGGCTAATTTTTCTATTTTTTTGTAGAGGTGGGGTTTCACCATGTTGACCAGGCTGGTCTCGAACTCCTGAGCTCAAGCAATCGGCCTACCTCAGCCTCCCAAAGTGCTGGGATTATAGGTGTGAGCCACTGCGCCCTGCCTAGTGCTTGAGTTTCTGATGGGCACCACCTGTCTTTCTGTGCACCAGACACTATCATCCTACCTTGAGGCACTTTGCCTGGTACCAGAGTAGCAGTCTCTAGAATACAGAACTCTGCCATAGTACTATTTTTTACCTTCATCTGATTTTGTATGTGGCATGCCAGGTGTAGCTCTATTGGATATTTACTTTTTTCTCTGTGCCCCAAATTCTGGCATCCTTAGTCAATATGAAAACCCCTTCTTTTCTCTAAGAAATAGTATGTGCCAGTAGGGTATGCAGGGCTGTGGTCCTTCTTATTGGTTGGGCCAACTTTTTTATTCACCGGGAATCCTTTCTAATTGACCTCATTGGTCAGGCATCCGTTCTGATTAATCAGTGCTCATGCATTTTAGTTCTTAAATATTTTTACTGTCTCCTCTGCTTCCTAGCAACCATTAATTGAGCACATGAAACTGACTGTATGCTAAATGCTTTGGATATCTCTTCTCTTTTAACTCTCATAGTAATCTCATCATAAGGTGTGACCAGACAGATTTTTACAGATGGGGAACTGTGAAAAAAAGCTTCACAGAAATTACATAAATATTCTGAGGACATAATGCATGCGCCTGGGTTAGGATTCAGATCTGGGACTCGGTGACTTCGTGCCTCACTGTGGCACGGTAGTGCTCTCAATCTAGAACCAACTCATTGTACACTGAATCTGGTCTGTTTATCGTATTCCACATTAGAACATCCTGCTAGGTTGTATGGTACTTCCATGTCCTTACTTGCTGCTTTGGGTGGTGGCCATTTACCTTATTCAGAACCATGAGTTCACCTAAGGCCTACTGACCAATAGAGCTTCTAGGTCTTTCCCATCTCCTTGTCTTCTTAAATGCTGAAATGGCCGGGGAAATGAGACAAACTGGCCTAAAGTGATAAATTGATTTCATCATTGTCCTGTTCCTCAGCTATCTAAAACCTGTCTAGGTGATGCAGATACTGCATTTGTCAGTGTCAGAACTGTGCAAATGCAATATATCCTTGTAACAAACCTGCACATGTACCCCCTGAATCTAAAATAAAAGTTGAAATTATAAAAAAAATAAAAATTTAAAAAAAGAACTGTGCAGAGAACTATTTCTTGGGGAGGAGCCAAGATGGCCGAATAGGAACAGCTCCGGTCTACAGCTCCCAGCGTGAGCGACGCAGAAGACGGTGATTTCTGCATTTCCATCTGAGGTACCGGGTTCATCTCACTAGGGAGTGCCAGACAGTGGGCGCAGGCCAGTGTGTGTGCGCACCGTGCGCGAGCCGAAGCAGGGCGAGGCATTGCCTCACCTGGGAAGCGCAAGGGGTCAGGGAGTTCCCTTTCTGAGTCAAAGAAAGGGGTGACGGTCGCACCTGGAAAATCGGGTCACTCCCACCCGAATATTGCGCTTTTCAGACCGGCTTAAGAAACGGCGCACCACGAGACTATATCCCACACCTGGCTCGGAGGGTCCTACGCCCACGGAATCTCGCTGATTGCTAGCACAGCAGTCTGAGATCAAACTGCAAGGCGGCAACGAGGCTGGGGGAGGGGCGCCCGCCATTGCCCAGGCTTGCTTAGGTAAACAAAGCAGCCGGGAAGCTCGAACTGGGTGGAGCCCACCACAGCTCAAGGAGGCCTGCCTGCCTCTGTAGGCTCCACCTCTGGGGGCAGGGCACAGACAAACAAAAAGACAGCAGTAACCTCTGCAGACTTAAGTGTCCCTGTCTGACAGCTTTGAAGAGAGCAGTGGTTCTCCCAGCACGCAGCTGGAGATCTGAGAACGGGCAGACAGACTGCCTCCTCAAGTGGGTCCCTGACTCCTGACCCCCGAGCAGCCTAACTGGGAGGCACCCCCCAGCAGGGGCACACTGACACCTCACACGGCAGGGTATTCCAACAGACCTGCAGCTGAGGGTCCTGTCTGTTAGAAGGAAAACTAACAACCAGAAAGGACATCTACACCGAAAACCCATCTGTACATCACCATCATCAAAGACCAAAAGTAGATAAAACCACAAAGATGGGGAAAAAACAGAACAGAAAAACTGGAAACTCTAAAACGCAGAGCGCCTCTCCTCCTCCAAAGGAACGCAGTTCCTCACCAGCAACAGAACAAAGCTGGATGGAGAATGATTTTGACGAGCTGAGAGAAGAAGGCTTCAGACGATCAAATTACTCTGAGCTACGGGAGGACATTCAAACCAAAGGCAAAGAAGTTGAAAACTTTGAAAAAAATTTAGAAGAATGTATAACTAGAATAACCAATACAGAGAAGTGCTTAAAGGAGCTGATGGAGCTGAAAACCAAGGCTCGAGAACTACGTGAAGAATGCAGAAGCCTCAGGAGCCGATGCGATCAACTGGAAGAAAGGGTATCAGCAATGGAAGATGAAATGAATGAAATGAAGCGAGAAGGGAAGTTTAGAGAAAAAAGAATAAAAAGAAATGAGCAAAGCCTCCAAGAAATATGGGACTATGTGAAAAGACCAAATCTACGTCTGATTGGTGTACCTGAAAGTGATGTGGAGAATGGAACCAAGTTGGAAAACACTCTGCAGGATATTATCCAGGAGAACTTCCCCAATCTAGCAAGGCAGGCCAACGTTCAGATTCAGGAAATACAGAGAACGCCACAAAGATACTCCTCGAGAAGAGCAACTCCAAGACACATAATTGTCAGATTCACCAAAGTTGAAATGAAGGAAAAAATGTTAAGGGCAGCCAGAGAGAAAGGTCGGGTTACCCTCAAAGGAAAGCCCATCAGACTAACAGTGGATCTCTCGGCAGAAACCCTACAAGCCAGAAGAGAGTGGGGGCCAATATTCAACATTCTTAAAGAAAATAATTTTCAACCCAGAATTTCATATCCAGCCAAACTAAGCTTCATAAGTGAAGGAGAAATAAAATACTTTATAGACAAGCAAATGTTGAGAGATTTTGTCACCACCAGGCCTGCCCTAAAAGAGCTCCTGAAGGAAGCGCTAAACATGGAAAGGAACAACCGGTACCAGCCGCTGCAAAATCATGCCAAAATGTAAAGACCATTGAGACTAGGAAGAAACTGCATCAACTAATGAGCAAAATCACCAGCTAACATCATAATGACAGGATCAAATTCACACATAACAATATTAACTTTAAATATAAATGGACTAAATTCTGCAATTAAAAGACACAGACTGGCAAGTTGGATAAAGAGTCAAGACCCATCAGTGTGCTGTATTCAGGAAACCCATCTCACGTGCAGAGACACACATAGGCTCAAAATAAAAGGATGGAGGAAGATCTACCAAGCCAATGGAAAACAAAAAAAGGCAGGGGTTGCAATCCTAGTCTCTGATAAAACAGACTTTAAACCAACAAAGATCAAAAGAGACAAAGAAGGCCATTACATAATGGTAAAGGGATCAATTCAACAAGAGGAGCTAACTATCCTAAATATTTATGCACCCAATACAGGAGCACCCAGATTCATAAAGCAAGTCCTGAGTGACCTACAAAGAGACTTAGACTCCCACACATTAATAATGGGAGACTTTAACACCCCACTGTCAACATTAGACAGATCAACGAGACAGAAAGTCAACAAGGATACCCAGGAATTGAACTCAGCTCTGCACCAAGCAGACCTAATAGACATCTACAGAACTCTCCACCCCAAATCAACAGAATATACCTTTTTTTCAGCACCACACCACACCTATTCCAAAATTGACCACATAGTTGGAAGTAAAGCTCTCCTCAGCAAATGTAAAAGAACAGAAATTATAACAAACTATCTCTCAGACCACAGTGCAATCAAACTAGAACTCAGGATTAAGAATCTCACTCAAAGCCGCTCAACTACATGGAAACTGAACAACCTGCTCCTGAATGACTACTGGGTACATAACGAAATGAAGGCAGAAATAAAGATGTTCTTTGAAACCAACGAGAACAAAGACACCACATACCAGAATCTCTGGGACGCATTCAAAGCAGTGTGTAGAGGGAAATTTATAGCACTAAATGCCTACAAGAGAA
The DNA here is from genome assembly GCF_000001405.40 of Homo sapiens. Taxonomy (NCBI): domain Eukaryota; kingdom Metazoa; phylum Chordata; class Mammalia; order Primates; family Hominidae; genus Homo; species Homo sapiens. The sequence goes on from NW_003315908.1 coordinate 23,105, forward strand.
AGCAGGAAAGATCCAAAATTGACACCCTAACATCACAATTAAAAGAACTAGAAAAGCAAGAGCAAACACATTCAAAAGCTAGCAGAAGGCAAGAAATAACTAAAATCAGAGCAGAACTGAAGGAAATAGAGACACAAAAAACCCTTCAAAAAATCAATGAATCCAGGAGCTGGTTTTTTGAAAGGATCAACAAAATTGATAGACCGCTAGCAAGACTAATAAAGAAAAAAAGAGAGAAGAATCAAATAGACACAATAAAAAATGATAAAGGGGATATCACCACCGATCCCACAGAAATACAAACTACCATCAGAGAATACTACAAACACCTCTACGCAAATAAACTAGAAAATCTAGAAGAAATGGATACATTCCTCGACACATACACTCTCCCAAGACTAAACCAGGAAGAAGTTGAATCTCTGAATAGACCAATAACAGGCTCTGAAATTGTGGCAATAATCAATAGTTTACCAACCAAAAAGAGTCCAGGACCAGATGGATTCACAGCCGAATTCTACCAGAGGTACATGGAGGAACTGGTACCATTCCTTCTGAAACTATTCCAATCAATAGAAAAAGAGGGAATCCTCCCTAACTCATTTTATGAGGCCAGCATCATTCTGATACCAAAGCCGGGCAGAGACACAACCAAAAAAGAGAATTTTAGACCAATATCCTTGATGAACATTGATGCAAAAATCCTCAATAAAATACTGGCAAACCGAATCCAGTTGCACATCAAAAAGCTTATCCACCATGATCAAGTGGGCTTCATCCCTGGGATGCAAGGCTGGTTCAATATACGCAAATCAATAAATGTAATCCAGCATATAAACAGAGCCAAAGACAAAAACCACATGATTATCTCAATAGATGCAGAAAAAGCCTTTGACAAAATTCAACAACCCTTCATGCTAAAAACTCTCAATAAATTAGGTATTGATGGGACGTATTTCAAAATAATAAGAGCTATCTATGACAAACCCACAGCCAATATCATACTGAATGGGCAAAAACTGGAAGCATTCCCTTTGAAAACCGGCACAAGACAGGGATGCCCTCTCTCACCGCTCCTATTCAACATAGTGTTGGAAGTTCTGGCCAGGGCAATCAGGCAGGAGAAGGAAATAAAGGGTATTCAATTAGGAAAAGAGGAAGTCAAATTGTCCCTGTTTGCAGACGACATGATTGTATATCTAGAAAACCCCATCGTCTCAGCCCAAAATCTCCTTAAGCTGATAAGCAACTTCAGCAAAGTCTCAGGATACAAAATCAATGTACAAAAATCACAAGCATTCTTATACACCAACAACAGACAAACAGAGAGCCAAATCATGGGTGAACTCCCATTCGTAATTGCTTCAAAGAGAATAAAATACCTAGGAATCCAACTTACAAGGGATGTGAAGGACCTCTTCAAGGAGAACTACAAACCACTGCTCAAGGAAATAAAAGAGGACACAAACAAATGGAAGAACATTCCATGCTCATGGGTAGGAAGAATCAATATCGTGAAAATGGCCATACTGCCCAAGGTAATTTACAGATTCAATGCCATCCCCATCAAGCTACCAATGACTTTCTTCACAGAATTGGAAAAAACTACTTTAAAGTTCATATGGAACCAAAAAAGAGCCCGCATTGCCAAGTCAATCCTAAGCCAAAAGAACAAAGCTGGAGGCATCACACTACCTGACTTCAAACTATACTACAAGGCTACAGTAACCAAAACAGCATGGTACTGGTACCAAAACAGAGATATAGATCAATGGAACAGAACAGAGCCCTCAGAAATAATGCCGCATATCTACAACTATCTGATCTTTGACAAACCTGAGAAAAACAAGCAATGGGGAAAGGATTCCCTATTTAATAAATGGTGCTGGGAAAACTGGCTAGCCATATGTAGAAAGCTGAAACTGGATCCCTTCCTTACACCTTATACAAAAATCAATTCAAGATGGATTAAAGATTTAAACGTTAAACCTAAAACCATAAAAACCCTAGAAGAAAACCTAGGCATTACCATTCAGGACATAGGCGTGGGCAAGGACTTCATGTCCAAAACACCAAAAGCAATGGCAACAAAAGACAAAATTGACAAATGGGATCTAATTAAACTAAAGAGCTTCTGCACAGCAAAAGAAACTACCATCAGAGTGAACAGGCAACCTACAACATGGGAGAAAATTTTCGCAACCTACTCATCTGACAAAGGGCTAATATCCAGAATCTACAATGAACTCAAACAAATTTACAAGAAAAAAACAAACAACCCCATCAAAAAGTGGGTGAAGGACATGAACAGACACTTCTCAAAAGAAGACATTTATGCAGCCAAAAAACACATGAAGAAATGCTCATCATCACTGGCCATCAGAGAAATGCAAATCAAAACCACTATGAGATATCATCTCACACCAGTTAGAATGGCAATCATTAAAAAGTCAGGAAACAACAGGTGCTGGAGAGGATGCGGAGAAATAGGAACACTTTTACACTGTTGGTGGGACTGTAAACTAGTTCAACCATTGTGGAAGTCAGTGTGGCGATTCCTCAGGGATCTAGAACTAGAAATACCATTTGACCCAGCCATCCCATTACTGGGTATATACCCAAATGAGTATAAATCATGCTGCTATAAAGACACATGCACACGTATGTTTATTGCGGCACTATTCACAATAGCAAAGACTTGGAACCAACCCAAATGTCCAACAATGATAGACTGGATTAAGAAAATGTGGCACATATACACCATGGAATACTATGCAGCCATAAAAAATGATGAGTTCATATCCTTTGTAGGGACATGGATGAAATTGGAAACCATCATTCTCAGTAAACTATCGCAAGAACAAAAAACCAAACACCGCATATTCTCACTCATAGGTGGGAATTGAACAATGAGATCACATGGACACAGGAAGGGGAATATCACACTCTGGGGACTGTGGTGGGGTCGGGGGAGGGGGGAGGGATAGCATTGGGAGATATACCTAATGCTAGATGACACATTAGTGGGTGCAGCGCACCAGCATGGCACATGTATACATATGTAACTAACCTGCACAATGTGCACATGTACCCTAAAACTTAGAGTATAATAAAAAAAAAAAAAAAAAAAAAAAAAAAAAAAGAACTGTGCAAAGATGTAAACATCTTTCTTCTTGTTACATTCTGAAAGCCACCAAAGGAGTAAAGGGAGAGTTCCTTTTGGTTTGTTTCTCATTATAAACTTTTTTTTTTAAGTTCCTAAAATAAAATTGTGGGAGTCTAAGCATATCATCAGGGAAGCTTATCTGCAAGTAGAGCAGTAAAACACTCATTTTAAAAGTGCCTTAGGACCAGGCGCGGTGGCTCACGCCTGTAATCCCAGCACTTTGGGAGGCCGAGGCGGGCAGATCACGAGGTCAGGAGATCGAGACCATCCTGGCTAACACGGTGAAACCCCGTCTCTACTGAGAATACAAAAAATAAGCCGGGCAAGGTGGCGAGCGCCTGTAGTCCCAGCTGCTCGGGAGGCTGAGGCAAGAGAATGGCGTGAACCCCGGAGGCGGAGCTTGCAGTGAGCCGAGATCACGCCACTGCACTCCAGCCTGGGTGACAGCGAGACTCCGTCTCAAAAAAAAAAAAAAAAAAAAGGGCCTTAGGTTGGGTGCAGCGATTCACGCCTGTAATCCCAGCACTTTGGGAGGCTGAAGGGGGTGGATCACCTGAGGTCAGGAGTTCGAAACCAGCCTGGCCAACAAGGTGAAACCCTGTCTCTACTAAAAATACAAAATTAGCTGTGTGTGGTGGCACATGTCTGTAATCCCAACTACTCAGGAGGCTGAGGCAGGAGAATCACTTGAACCCGGGAGGTAGAGGTTGCAGTGAGATGAGATGGCACCATTGCACTCCAGCCTGGGCAACAAGAGCGAAACTCTGCCTCAAATAAATAAATAAATAAATAAATAAATAAACAAACAAACAAACAAAATAAAATAAAAAGAAAGAAAGTGCCTTAAAGTACACTTGGTGGTCTAAATGTGAACAGATCATGAATCTAAAATATTCCAATTTAATATTTACTGAGCACTTGAATTGCTCCCAACTCTTTTCTACATGCTTTATGTGCATCCTTTCATTTAATTCTCCAACAACTCTATGCAAGAGGGACTATTATTATCTTCATTTTAAAGATGTGGAAACTTAGGCACAGCGTAGTTAAATAATATGTCTTAGATAACCTAGATTATATGTGGGAGGCTCAGGATTTGAAGATAGGCAGTTTGATTCCAAAGCACAAGCTCTTGATATAACCTAAAGAATGATAATGTTTTATTTAAACAAATATACAAGAATCAGATAAACAGATGAATGTTGCTTTTCAAAGCACTAGCATTGTCACCTTGGAAAAGTATACCCTTTCTAAGAATGTTGACATTTCTCAAAGTGTTTTTGCAACTGATCTCTTATCTAATTACAAATCTACAAACAAATTAGACTTGTTAGGTTCATATATTTGATTTGATGAGAAACACTATTACCTTAGTATAAAGATAGTTTCTTAAATAAGTAAAATTGATGAATATTGCCCAACCCATGGAAATATACAAGAATAGTTAACTTCTCAAAGAAGAAATATAATTCACCCATGAACTTATAAAAAGATGTTTAACCAAATACAGTCAAAGACACACAAGTTAAAACAATGAGAAAATGCTTTTTATCTATCAAATGACAAATATTTCTAAAGACTAGCAATATCCAGGATTGGCAAGAATGGGGCCAATAAATACTTTCATGAATTATTGGTGGTAATATAACTTGGTACATTTTTTCTGGAAAGCAGTTTGGAAACATGTATCAAAATATTAGCTGGACATATCCTGATTTAGATATCACAATTCCAAGAAAAAAATTCTTTTTCCCAGAACACATATTCTAAGACAATTTCTGATTCTAAGAACTCTTCTTCAAAGAAGATAATGAGGGCCTGGCACAGTGGCTCACTCTGGTAATCCCAGTACTTTCGGGAAGCAGGCCTCCTTGGCTTGAGGCCAGGAACTCGAGAACAGCCTGCGCAACACAGCAGGACCCCATCTCTACAGAAAATTAAAAAATTAGCCAGGTGTGGTGACATGTGCTTGTAGTCCCAGCTACTTAGAAAGCTGAGGTGGGAAGATTGCTTGAGACTGGGAGGTTGAGGCTGCAGTGAGCCATGATTGTGCCACTGCACTCTAGGTCAAGGGCACAAATATCTAGGAGTGAGGATGTTCATCATAGTGTTGTTTATAGTTGAAAATTTGGAAATAAACTAAATGTTGAGTAACGGAGTGTTGACTAAATAAGTCTATGTAATGGAAAATTATAGTTATTAAATTGATGATGTGGTTCTATATTTATTGTTTTGCAAAGATATCCGCAATATATTGTTGATGTTAAAAACGCAGATGATAATATAATAATTATGGTAGAATCTCATCTTACATTATTTTATTTATATCTGTATTCATCTCCATATCTATCTACACAAAAACAGACAAATATCGACACAGTTCGGTAAAGATATTCTCCAATACATGAAGAGTTACTATCTTTGTGTGTTAGGATTTTACACAATTTTTATTGTCTTCAATGTATTTTTATATTGTTAAATCTTTATTTTATAGTATATTTTCTCTTTATACTTAGGAAAAACAAAAACTCTGCATTTTAAAAAATTACTGTTATCTAGGTGAATCATTCACAGTCTTTACTGGACACAGGTCACAATAATTTTGCATTGTTTTCAAGAAATGAAATACGCTCAAATGAAATGAACTTGCCATGTCTGAAGACATTCTTTTGTCATGTGAAAGATCAGTCTCAGAAGAGAATTTACAAAATTGTTTCATAGCATTATGGAAATAAGAGTCTCCAAATGATAATGATACTTAAATTCTCAACATTTATTTGGAGGTATATTTCTGGACTATTTGTTAACAACATCATCTCACCGCTTTTATTATTGCACCTCATTTGCTCTGTTTATTCACATCAGCTTTCATAAAAAATTTGAGAGCTGAGGCCTAAAGAAATTCTCTCACCCGGTAGATGAACAAGCTGTAATTTTTTTTAGCTTTGGCATGCATTGGTAAATGAATGCATATTTTTACTTGCTTGACCAAGCTCAGGAATCTGCAAGTCGGCTAACATTGCATTATGTGGATGATGCTCTGAATAATACCATGTGCCCTGTTGCAAAAGCTGAAGATGTGCTTGTGGAATTTATTTTATTCCGATTTATGAGGACTGCTGCACACAAATAGATTATTGTAGTGTCTGTGATTAATGGGACACCACACGGCTGCATGGACTTCATAAATCATTTGATGCAATGTCTGAGTGAATTTTACTTGCAAAATCAGTTTCAATCAGCTTGACTTGAAAACTAGGTAAAGCAGAAGGAGGCATCCGATGGTGGGAGGTATCTAGGTGGTGCAGCAGTCAGCACTGTGTCCAGTTTTATGTCTCTTGTTATCAGTGATGTGGAAGAGTGAATAAGCAGCACGTTAATTAAATCTGCAGATGGAATTAGAAATGTCACAAATGCTGAGAAGGCCAGGGAAATGATACAAATTGGCCTAAGGTGATGTGGGGCTTGAAATAAAGGCCAAAAATACAACAGACTTGAGTGTGTGTGCACACACACATATACACACATGAATCAATAAGTGATTCGAGAAGTCAGTTAATTTTATAACTCTCTTAAGATTCCAAATATCATATGAAAACAATTTGGGAATAGTGAATATTAAAAAACGGCTGCAGGGTTTAATTCTAAGATCAATATTTAGCATTTGTTTTGTTTTTAAAATAATGATTTCTTTGCTTTTTTGATACATAATACATATTCATTATAGAAGAATAAGAAGATACAAATCAACAACAAATAAAAAGTATCACCTATGATCCCACTCTTGGTGGGATAGATAATCATATATGTACATAAACAAAAATGAGAAAATGAGATCATATTGCATATTTAATTTGGTATCCAACGCTATTCATGTAAAAATATTTCCTTTTTAAAAGGCCACGTTTCTGAGAAACTTGCTTGATACTCACCTTTCTCTGGCTCATTGAATTTATTACCTTTAATCTTAGTAATTGGAAGCTCTGAGAAAATTACAAAAGGCTAATATTTGTAAAGGCAAACACTGAAGAGAAAAAAAAGAAAAGGAATTTTCTTTGAATTCTCTACCTACTACTCAGAAATTCCTGACATTGCTAGCTAACCGTCCATTTATCTTAGCCCTAATGAGTCAATCTCTCACCAAATCACAGTCACAGAACCTCCTCTGTCTTTCTTGACACTGTGGGGAGGATGACCCCTGATTCTGAGAATTATTGGCAATTCAGTAGAATTGTTATTATGAACCAAGGAACACTACCACTTCCATAAAGGATTTAAAAGGAGAAGGCAATTCTTTACATGATTATTCACAATCGTCAAAGAAGATAGTAATCTAAGATAAATGTCCTTCATAGGGTTGGGTCAGAGGAAGGATGAAGGAGGGAAAAGGAAGAGAGAGAAGGGGAGGGTGGCAGGAAGGAAGGAAGGAAGGAAAGAAGGGAAGAAGAAGTCTGCTTTTTTCCCCTTTGAAATGTAGCTCTGAGCATGCATGAATGTGTATATAAGATGGAATTTTATCTCTAAGGAAAACTGAAGAAATGAAATAAAAGCCTAATTTAAACTAACATAGGCAGAATCTGAATCCACTATGAATCAAACCTGAAAGTATAGGGGAAAGATTAAGCATCAAGAGAGACCAAAATTATTCTTGGAGTTAATTTAGGAACATAGAATTTGGCATCAGGTAGGCTTAACAGGAGTTCAGCTTCCTCTTTCCTGGCTATCACTTCTCGGTGATGAGGATCACAGCCAGGCTGACCTTGGCTAACCTGTTCTTCCGGTGGCCAGATGAAAGGGACAGAGCTATGAGCAGGAGTCAGGGTACCTGGATTTGGTTTTTCTGTCCACCACCTGGCTGTCACTAAGCAATTCCTATCACCTCTTTGAGCCTCAATTTTCTCACTTATGAAATGATGAGTTTGCCCTGGATCATCTCTAATGTCCTGTTCAACAAGACCTGTAGTTCTGAATTTTAGCTGTGCATTAGAATTACCTTGAGAGCTTTTAAAATCCACTGGGCAAGGGCCTCGCTCCAGACCATTCATTTATATCAGAATCTCTGGGGTGGGCCAAAGAGGCAAAAATCAGTATTTTTATGCTCCCCTAGTAATTCCAATGTGCTACCAAGGTCGGACATCTCTGAACAACACCAGACTATTTTTTATTCTTAAAAAATTAAAGAAAAATAGCTAACATTTATTGGATGCTCACTATACACCAGCAGCACTTTATACACTATGCTTCATTTAATCCTCCCAAAGACCCCAGGAGTTACAATTTACCATTTCTCCAATACTGTAGCTACAAAAATGGAAGCGCAGAGTTGTTAGGTAATTAGTCTGAGGCTACCCAGCTAGTAAATAGCAAGCTAGAATTCTAACTTAGAGCAGTTGATTCCAGAAACCATGACCTAGTACCCTACACCTTCCTGCCCACTAAGCCATGCTGAAAATACAGAAATCTGAACAGCCTCTTGTAAGTGGAGTTCAGCTTTGCATGTTTGGTAGTACTAGCATTTTTTCTGTAATATAAAACTGTGTGAGGATGTTTCATTCTGATTCTACTTCCTGTCTCTACTTCCAATTTTACAATTTATTTTCATTTTTACTTAGAGTGAGTGTGATATGGGCTGGGTTGTAAAGCATCTGCACAAGTGTAGCCTCATGTAATGTTAACTAGTTTATTAAATAAGGCATACTATGTGCTAGCCACCATCCTAAGTGCTTGTGTTGTGGTATATATTATATATATGTATATATTTATATTTATATATATATATTTTTTAAATGACCACAATATATTGAATCTCCTATCAAGAAGTAGTGTCTATTACTTTACCTCTTCACTCTGGACTTGGTCATATGGCTTGCTTAAACCAGTGAGATATTAGCACATGTGTCGTAAGGCTTGAAAAGTGCTTGGGCACGGGTGTGTGACCTTGCGTTTCCAGCCTTTAGAACCCAGTCACCTCGTGAAAAAGTCCAGTGAGGCTACTACATGCGGGTGATACATGGCTCAGCCACCCCAGCCAAGTGCAAGACATATGAGTGAGACCAGGTGGGACAAGCCAGCCCAAGCAGATCTGTGCACTGACTCCCAGCACATGAATGCATCTAGGAGAGACCAGCAGAAGAACTGCTTGGTTGAACCCCATGCAAACTGTCAACACAAAAGACGTATGAGCTGATAATTATAATCGTTGTTTTAAATTATTAAGCTTTTGGGAAGTTTTCTATGTATCGAAAGCTAATTGATACACGTAGATTAACTTCATAATTTCTCATACAGTACTATGAGGTCGATTTTGTCATCATATCCATTTTATAAATGGGGAAACTGAGGTACAAACAGGTTAAGTAATTTGTCCAAACTCATTTAGCTAGGAAGTAGTTGCATGAGGATGTGAACTTAGGCTGGCTTTAAAACTCATGTTTTTAACATCCATGTAAGTGCATATCTTATAAGTGCATGCTTTACTGCGTTCATGCTCAATGATTTGGATGAGGAACAGCATCAAAAATCAAAACAAAACAAAGCAAAACAAAAATAAATAAATAAATAAGTAAGTAAATAAATAAATAAATAAAAGTCATGACAGTGATGGTGTGACAAGCTTTGACTTCCCTGATCCCTCTTAAGGAAAGCTATTCATTTTCCCGCCTGTGCCATGACTGTTCTTTCTAAAAGCCTGTGTACTGGCACTTCTCACCCTGTGCTGTCTCATATTGATATAGTTGTTTCTTTTGATAACCTGGGTTCTCCCCATAGGTGGGGAACGTGTCTGATTTATACAGCCCTAGTGCCTGGCACAGAACCTGGGAAATAGTATAAGTTTAATAAATCCTGATAGAACAAATGGGTGAAGAAAAAAGAGAGAAGTAAACAAATGAGCAGCTTTCCTTAAGGGAGATCAGGGGAGTCAGAGCTTGTCACATCACAATTGTCATGACTTTTATTATGTTTTTCATAGTCTCCTCTTGTGTTTACTTTAAAAATGTGGGGGAATGCTTCTTTACTAACATTTATTTTACATAGTTCCTTTGTCGCCCTCTCTTGCCTCCCTCCCTCCTTTCCTTCTTTCCTTCCTTCCTTCCTTCCTTCCTTCCCTCATCCTTCTATTCTTACAGCTCACCTACTGTGGAATATTCATCACAGCAGCAATTCATCGACACTTCCAATCTGTTGACTTTCCCCTTCCTCGCTATGTCTGACCCACCCCTATTCTTTCCCATCCCTCCACCTCCACGTACCACTATGTTCTCTTGTCTCTAAGCTTGTTCCCTTCTCAGCTTAGGGCTTGGTGCAAGCTGTTCCCCCTGCCTGGCATACGGTTCTGCCTCATACCTGAATGGCTCACTTCTAGTCGTTAGTATTTCAGCCTAAAGATTACCCTCTCAAAGAAATCTCCTCTAACTACCCCATGTAAAACAGCCATTTGGTCTGTCTAGCACAACCAACACATAATCCTTTGCAATTCTCTGTAAAATGTTTATTACTAATAGGAGTTTTTCTTCTTGCTGATTTGTAGTCTGTCTTCATTAATTTCAGTATAAGCTCCATCAAAGCAGAGACTGCTCTCTCTTGTTCATTGAGAAACTGTGACTGACAACAAAGTAGTTACTCAGTGTATATCTTAAAAATGGAGGAAAGAAAGAAAGGAAGGAATGCATGAGAATTGCTTGAATCAGGGAGGCAGAGTCTACAGTGAGCCGAGATCGTGCCACTGCACTCCAGCCTGGGCGACAGAGTGAGATCCTGTTTCAAAAAACAAAACAAAACAAAACAAAACTGTACATATTAATTATTACATGTCAACTAAAGCTAAAGGGAAAAAAGATGCCCCTAGTTTCTATTCAAATAAATGTCAACACTCATTAATTTGTATATATATATAGTAGTCCTCCTTTATCTGTGAGTTCACTTCTTCAGTTTTAGCTACCTGCAGGCAACTGACATCTGAAAGTATTAAGTGAAAAATTCCAAAAACAAATGATTAATAAGTTTTAAAAAATAAAAACAAACAATCTGTACATATTTTCTTCAGGAAACTTGTAGTTTAACCTCAAATAATAATTGGGAATAATGTTTTGAGTTTAATTTTAATTCAGAAATTGAAATGGTTATGAGCTGGAACTGGTGAAAATGGGGCTTAAAGTTCTTTTTTTCCATAAGGCAACAATTTGAAGAGAGAATGTACAACCTATGGCAGATGTTCTCAACCATTTAAGACCACATTGTCCCTTTTAATAACAAATATTTTGTAAGGTCCTTTATACTTTCTTTAGATGTAATTTATAGCTATACCCATATATATAGCTATATATACATGGGTTAGCTATAAATTATATATATATAGCTACTATATATGGATATATATATTTACATATACATAATTTTTATATACAAATTTATATATACTATAACTATATATAGCTATATATATCAGTATAGTTATAAATTTATATTTATGTGTTTAGATATATATAATCTTAAAAATTAATATAATTCTCTAACTAAAACAAGGATGAATTAAAAGAAAACCATTTGTAATAGAATATTCTGTATTTCAATATGGAAATGCTTAGACACAATTCCATCAGAAGACACAGAATAGTAGGCATATGCTTGCACCCCTGCACAGCATCTCCTGTGACTTGAACAGCTACGAATGCAGACTGGTATAGGTGCTATGTTGGTGACCTAAATTCCAGGAACAGCATTTCTTTGAGTGATATATTTTATTTTTTTTAGAACGGCAAACAGTCATTTACCAAGAACTCTTGGTAAAGTTGTAAAGTTAAAAAATAACAACTTTTTATTTACTGGATTGTTGCATTCCTGAAAAACTCAGTATATATTAGGACTGTAAAACTACTTTTTGTTTATATGTAAAACAGCATTAGATTCTAGGTGAAGATAATTATAAACAACTCTTTTTGCTTTCATAAAAAAGTTAGCAGGACATTAAAAAAAAAGGGTGCAGGACATAGACAATTCTTTGTTTAAAGGACTGGTCCATAAAGTTTTGGAAGCATATCGTTCCTTTGCCCTGCCTATTGTGTGTCAGGAGCACCACTCTCCTACAATCATTGTAGCCATAAAGGACTACCCCATAAAAAATCACTGGTATAGGGGAGACTCCACTAAGAGCTAGAAGAAAACTGTTTGTGATGAAGCATAGACCTTTTATTTTACATTGAAGTCGTCAAGAATCATTGTGTAGGTAGGGAACTGCATAGCCCTAGAGGGCACTAGTTACAAAGGCTGTAAGGCACCCTTCACCTATCAAATAGAAATCATAAGCCTGCTGGTGGCTCCGGTGATGTTACACGTGAGAATACAGCAGTTTCCTTTATCCATGGTTTCACCTTCAGCAGTGTCAGTTACCCCCAGTCAACCGCAGTCCAAAAATACTAAATGGAAAATCTCAGAAATAAACAATTCATAAGTTTTAAATCTCTTACTGTTCTAAGTAGCATGATGAAATCTCACACCTTCCAGCTCTGTCCCACCTAGGATGTGAACCATCCCTTTGTTTAGGTACCTATGCTGTATACACTACTCACCCATTAGTCACTTAGTAGCCATCTAGGTTATCAGATTGGCTACTGTGGTATCAAAGTGCTTGTGTTCAAGGAACTCTTATTTTACTTAATAATGGCCCCAAAGCACAAGAGTAGTGATGCTAGCAATTCAAATATGGGAATGAGAAGCTGTAAAGTGCTTTAAGTGAAAAGGTAAAGGCTGGGCATGGTGGCTCATGCCTGTAATCCCAGCACTTTGGGAGGCCGAGGTGGGCAGATCACCTGAGGTCAGGAGTTCGAGACTAGCCTGGTCAACAAGGCAAAACCCAGTCTCTACTAAAAAGACAAAAATTAGCTGGGCATGGTGGCAGGTGCCTGTAATCCCAGCTACTTGGGAGGATGAGGCAGGAGAATCACTTGAACCCGGGAGATGGATGTTGCAGTGAGCCAAGCTGGCACCACTGCACTCCAGCCTGGGCGACAGCAAAAATCCGTCAAAAAAAAAAAAAAAAAAAAAAAAAAAAAGAAAAGAAAAGAAAAGAAAAGAAAAGGTGAAAGTAATTGACTCAATAAGGAAAGAGAAAAAATCAGTTGCTGAGGCTGCTAAGATCTACAGTAAGAACAAATCTATCCATGACATTGTGAATGAGGAAAAAGAAATTTCTTCTAGTTTTGCTGCTGCACTTCAAACTACAAAAGTTATGGCCACAGGTGTGATAAGTGCTTAGTTAAGATGGAAATGGTATTAAATCAAATCATAGGATGTATGTATAGGAAAAATAGTCTCTATAGGGCTTGGTACTATCTTCCATTTCAGATATCCAGTGGGGGTTTGGGAATATATCCCGCAAAGATAAAGGGTGACTATTGTATCATACACGTATTATAGATGACATGGAATTTTCTTTAAACAACTTGAATTTAGTAGTACTTAAAGTGATTTAGATTTTTTCATAAAAACCTACAAAATTTCATAAAAACCTATAAGATTTATTTCATATATTAAAAATGAAGCTTTTAAACTTTTTTTATATTTTAAATTCCATGCACTCACAAGTCACAACTCACATACATTCCTTGTCTTTTTCTAGAAAACCCTAGTCTATCAGAAGTTGGAATAAAACAAACCTTCAGGTACCCGGAATAAGCAACGAACTTTCCGAATTAGAAAGCCAGTATAAATTGCAGATATGCTTGAAAAAATAATAGGTATGCTATTATATTAGGATAATAATAGATATGGAAATACTATACAGACGAATCAGGGATTGACTATTTTATATCACAAAGTAATTTATTTCTTTACAAAATGGATCCCTGATTTACAAAGGGGTTTACCTCATGCACATTTATAAAGCAAGCTTCCTTATTACAGCATTTCCTTGGGGCACACTTCTTAAGAATCCGAATATTCATTTGGCAGTATTTATTGAGTTTCTACAACATGCCCCTCCACCATATTAGGCTCTTAATTTCAATTAAGACAAGACACTCTCTCTGTGCATGAACAGTTTCTAGTTTGTAAAGAAGATATATAAACTGACAATTCAAGCACAATGTCACAAGTGATGAGATGAAAATTGTCAACCAAGTGCCCAGGGAAAAGTGCATGTAACTCAGCCTGAAGGAGGTGGTGAGAGCCTTACTGAAGGGATGGCACTTGAATTGAGTCTTAAAAAACTAGTCACCGGCGAAGTAAGAAGAAGAGCAAATCAGGCAGAGGAAATAGCAGGTGCAAAGGCACTGACGCCTGACAAGTAGATTGTCAGACATGTGAGGCTGACATGAGAGAGGTGTAGTGCTGGGGGTGAGAGGGACAATAGCAATGAAATTCAGGATATAAATTAGTTATAGGCTGTGGAGGGTTTTGGATATCACGCTAAGGAATTTGAACTTTATCCTGCAGAAAATTGTGCCTGTAATTGCAAGTCTGTAAGACTTTTTAGCGGACGATAGTATCAGTTTTGTTCCTTAGGAAAATAACTGGCAGCTGTGTGGAAGATAGGCAGCAAGGGGGAAAGACAGATGGCACAGAGAACTTTTTGGATACCTGTGTTAATAGGCATCATGCTCTGGTAGCTTTAATGTGTAGATTTCACCCTCTGCAGTAAGGTCAGAAGAGGGGAGTTGTAGGCAGGAAGAAAGGTTGGAATTGAAGCATGAAGGTAGCTCGCATAGGCAGACAGGTGAGAGACTGAGCTCCGAAAAGTAAGAAAGTGCAGGAATGAGCCTGCAGATACAGAGTTCAGTCCAGAGAGGACAATGGAGGCTGGAATCAGTAACTCTCATCTAGGGGAAACAGTGACAGGGGCAAGATACAATGGAACAGGTATTCAGGCCATAGGTTCTGAGAAAGAAGTGAACCGGCTTTAGGCAAGAGGTCAGAATGTGAAGAATGGCACAGAATAACAAACATGCCAGGGCATCTCAAACTTTAGTTAGTATCAGGATCACCTTTAGGGCTTTGAAACATTCAGATCTCTGTGCCCCACCCTCAGAGATTCTAAGTCAGTAAAAGTCTGGAATAAGTCTAATAATTGGCATTTCTGCATTACCCAAGTGATGCTGATGCTACTGGTCTCTGGACTAAACAAGGCTCTAAGCAGCCTTCCAGATCTACAGTCCTCTGAATTGGTTTCAGGATTTAAAAACATTTCAATGTTCAGATGCACACATTTACTTACCAGACTAGAGAGAATTCTGAGTTGGTGGAGGAAGGCCAGTTCCTGATAGATCAAACATGCAATCTGAGAGGCCCAACAGCAAAGTAGGCAGCTTTCCATGAAGACCAGAGTGAGGGTTGATTAAAAAAAAAATTGTTTTTGGTTCCTCTACAGGCAGCTGCTGGAAAACAGGACTAATGGTTGTTTGAGGAGTGAGAGAAAGGGGCAGGCCCAAGCAAGCACCGTGCTCTGATACTGTCTCTCCTGAAACTGGGTCTGCCAGTCTGGAAGCTGGCGGCTCTGCCCACCTAAATCATTGCTCAGATAGTCACACACAGAACATCTAGGCCTCTCTCTGTTTGTACCTGCCCTTATGCCAGTATCACACTCTTCATTTCTGCAGTTTTATAATAAGTTTGAACTCAGCTCAGCATGAAGCCTAACAGTTTCTGAGGCTTTCTTAAAATGGGACTGAAGGATTTTGTTACACTATTAAAAAGAAAATATATAGGTACAGATAATCAAATTCTTGAGTTGATTACATTATTGTGCATCTTTTAATATGGCAGACTAAACAGGCCTCCAGAAACTAGGCCACATTTTCTGGATAGCTGCCAGTAATTATATGTCAGGAATGCCTATATAAGCAAGATGTTAATGCTCAACAATTATTCCTTCTTCTTTTTCCTTTTTGACTTAAGCTGCAAAGGTAACAGTAACACTGAAGCCATAACCAGTGCAACCTGAGCAACAGATGGCAATTTGCTTAAATTTGCAAGAAGGATTTGAAATTCGAATTGATTAAAATACTGGTACCTATGGTAGATGAAAAGGAGTTGATTCATGTTTCAAGATCCTTCAAATATGGAAATTATTAATCAATGAGTCTGCTAGTTTATCACTAGGTATTAGCACATACAAACACCAAATTCCTCTAACATTCTCAGAGGATGTGCGACACAAATTCCTTTGGCTGCATAAGCAAACACACACTTCATTTCCATGTCAACGAGTAAAAACAAAATTAATCAGAGCAACAGAGCAACTGGAACAGTGTGGGGGTATATATTAGGTGTTCATAGGTATTGGTTGAATAAATGAATGGATGAATAAATGAGTGCCAAAGCACAGAGTGGAGGTAACTATCAACCTTCCGCAAGACCAGGACAATAAAAACAAAAAAATGTGCATTGTTTGGCTACAGAATTCCAAATTTAGAAAGCAGAAGATGTAGAAGGACAGGGGAGACTGGAGAAGAAGAGGGGGCTGGGACATAGTAAAGGCTGGATTATTGGAAGACGAGGAAGATGAGTATAACACAGAATTGAATCACTTAACTCCTAATGAAAAACACTTTAGCAAAATAGCTCTTCAGACAAGGAATGGAATAAAATCAGCATTGACATAAACAAGCTCTTGGTTCTAATTATCTGGCAAGCAACTGCTGCAGATCTCAAAGAAGCTGAGTGGGTGAGGCTGGATCTGTGGTTTTGGAGTCTACTCAAGCATATTGAAGGCTCTTAGGGAAACATAAGTGTTAGAAAGCTTGGAGTGTTGGGGATATCAATTTATTCAACAAGGGTTTATTGATCTCCTACCAGGTATAAATATTTTTCTTGATACAAGAGTAAATGGCATGTGATTCTTTTCCTTAAGCATCATACAATCTATATGGGGAGGCCATCCATGTTCAGAAATAATCATATAATAGGGCAAACTTTGATAAATGTCTAGAAGTGTGAGGATGATTTGGAATAGTCATTCATTCATTCATCCATTCATACATTTTTTAACAAAGTGTGCAATCCAGTGGTTTTAATATGTTCATAAAGTTGTGCAACCATCACTATTATGCAGTTCCACAAAATTTTCATCATCCACCAAAAGTCCTGTAAGTACTAGCAGTCACTCTCCATTCTTTCCTCCCTCTAGCCCCTGACAACCCCGCTAATCAATTTTCTGTCTCTATGGATTTCACTATTCTCAATTGATTCCCCAAAATAAGCTGACCATAAATGTAGGGTTTATTTCTAGACTCCCAAATCTATTCCAATGATGTTTATACCTACCCTTATGCCAGTATCACACTCTTCATTTCTGCAGTTTTATAATAAGTTTGAAGTCAGGAAATTTGAGTCCTCCAACTATGTTCTTTTTCAAATTCTTTTAGCTATTCCGAGTCTTGCATTTCCATATAAATCTCAGGATCAGCTTGTCAACTTCTGCAAAAAAAGTCAGTAGAAATTTTGACAGAGATTCCATTTAATCTGTAGATCAACTTTTGGATTATTGCCATTTTAACAGTATTAAGCTTTTAAATACATGATCTTGGGATATCTTTGCCTTAATCTAGATATTCTTTAATTTCTTTCAACAATGTTTTGTAGTTTTCAGAGTACTAGTTGTTACTCATTTTATTAAATTTATTCCTAGGTGTTTTATTCCTTTTGATATTGTAAATGGAATTGTTTTCTTAATTTTGTTTTCAGATTATTCATTGATAGTGTAAAAAAACACACTATTGACTTTTGTATATTGATCTGTATTCTGCAACCTTACTGAACTTATTAGTTCTAATAGTTTTTAAGGGGTTATTCGGAATTTTCTATGTATAAATTTAAGACATTTGCAAATAGAGATGATTTTACTTCTTTCCCAATATGGATACCTGTTATTTCTTTTTCTTGTCTAATTGCCCTGACTAGAACCTCCAGCAGAGTGTTGAGTAGAAGTATAAAGAGTGGACATATTTATCTTATTTTTGATTTAGAGGGAAAGCTTTCAGTCTTTTTCATTAAGTATAACGTTACCCGTGGGTTTTTCATAGATGCTCTTTATCAGGTTAAGGAAGTTCCTTTCTATTCCTAAGTGATGCAGTATTTTTATTGATGAAATGGTGATGGATTTTGGCAAATGCTTTTTTCTGTCTATTGAGATGATCATGTAGTTTTTGTTCTATATTCTATTATTATGGTATATTACGTGGTTGATTTTTATATACCGAACCAACCTTACCTTCTTGGGATAAATCTCACTTGGTTATGGTGTACTTTTTATATGTTGCTGGATTTAGTTTTCTAGAATATTTTTGAGGAATTTTGAATCTATGTTCATAAGGGATATTGGTTTGTAGTTTTTGTTTCTTGTGATGCCTTTGTGTTTTTTAGAATCAGGTTAATGGTAGCCTCATAGAATACGCTGAGAAATATTCTTGCTGCTTCTGAATTTTAGAAATTTTGTGAAGGATTGATATTGATTCTTCTTTAAACAATTGGTAGAATTCACCAGTGAAGCCCTCTCATCCTGGGAAGATTAAGAAACCTTTTTAAAATTGCTGGTTCAATCTCTTTACTTGTAATTGGTGTATTCAGATATTCTGCTTCTTCTTGAATCAGTTTTGATAGTTTCATTTTTTCTGTGAATTTGTCCATTTTATCTAGATTATTTACTTTATTAGAATACAATTGTTTTTTGTCTTCCCTTATAATCCTTCTTATTTTTGTAAGGTTGGTAGTAATATTCCTTCTTTCATTTCTGATTTTAGTAATTTTACTCTTTTTCTTGTTTCTTGGCCCAGTCTAGCTAAACATTTGTCAATTGTATTAATCTTTTCAAAGAACCAAATTTTACTTTTGCTTATGTTCTCTATTGGTTTCTTGTTATTTATTTATTTACACTTCAGTATTTATCCTTTTCTTCTTCCCCCTTGCTTTTGTTTGTTCTTTTTCTAGTTTCTTAAGACAAAAGGTTAAGATATCAATTTAAGATTTTTCTTCTTTTTAAATATAGGTATTTACAGCTATAACTATCTAAGTACTGTTTTCATTGTGTTCCATAATTACGATATGCTGTATTTTCATTGTGATTCATCTCGATGCATTTTTCTAATTTTTTTTTTATTTCTTTTCTTACCCATTGGTTATTTAGGAGTGTGTTGTGTAATTTTTACATATTAGTAAATTTCTCAAATTTCTTTCTGTTATTTACTTCTAATTTCATTTTATTGTGGTAGGAGAACATACTTTGTATTATTCTCTTTTTAAAAATTTACTGAAGTTTATTTTATGGCCTAACATATGGTCTGTCCTATAAAATGTTCCATGTGAGCTTGAGAAGAAAGTGTGTTCTGCTGTTGCTGGATTCTGCTGTGTTCTATAGATGTCTGCTAAATTAAGTTGCTGTGCAGTGTTGCTCAAGTCCTTTATTTCCTTGCTGATATTCAGTTGTGTTGTTCTTTCCATTATTGCAAGTGAGGATTAAAATCTCCAATTATTCATATTGAATTGTCTATTTTCTATTCAATTCTGTAAGTTTTGTTTCATGTATGTTTGGATCCTGTTATTTGGGAATTTTATGGGGGGAATACCCACCAGGAAATGCGTGTTTCCTCAGACACACACCGTGTGTGTGTGCACTCACGCACCCCCCACACAGATGTCTTTAAACAGCCTGTTCTTCTGCCTTCTGTGTCTCCTCAAGAAACACGCAGGAAACAGGCAGCAATCAAACAAGCTGCCAGCTAAGCACCAGGTGATTCTCTGTTTGAATTAGACAGGTTGGAGCAGAGAATCAGGGAGGTGAGAGGAATGGAAGACAGAATCACATTATCTCTCAGCTGCATGGAAAATTGTATTGTGGCATCCATGCATAAGGATAAGGAAGGGAAGTATTACCTCAGTGGCCAATAAAGCTAGAAGGCTGTTTGAACTTGTTGTATATATTCAAAGTCACATTGGGACCTTGAATATAATATTCCTAAAGAGAATAGTGCATGTCAATGGAGGAAGGAAGAACATTTGTCTTCCAGGATCTGATATCCTCCAGGCACACCGGGATTCTTTACCTGTCAATGGCAGATAAATTTGATACACACACACACACACACACACACACACAGTCACAGTTGCCTCTTTATATATTTATTTTTCTTCCATGATTTTACCTCAAAAATTAGAAATATATTCCAAACTTTTCTAGTAAAATAATTCTAGGAATATCTAAACTTTTCTTGTATTGTTTTATATTTTAAATTAATGCCTCTTCTTAGAAATCAAGTTTTCTAAATTTACTGTTTTATTTTTCTTAAGTTATCTTCTTGATGCAAGAAGAGGCTCATAGGTTTTTTTCTGAAGAATTTCTGTATTATCTTTAACTCAACTTTTGATAAATATTGAATGACTTTGAATTCAAATTGCTCATTTCTGATGTAAAAAGCACCAAGTAGAAGATTTTGTGCATATTTTAAAAGAAGTGAGCTGAGTATTCTTCCAATCAGCAGAGTTGGGGATAGGGATTAAATTCTCTGAGGACAGCTGAAGAACCTGAGAAGGAAGGACACATGCCCACAATGAAAGGCCACTCTTCCCCTGACACCTTTCCTGGAAACATGCACAAAAAGGTGAGGAGTGGGACTCCTGGTTTGGGCCAAAATTCTCCTCAAGAAGCAGTTTTGTTTTCACTCCAGTTCATTGAAGAATAATATTCAAGACCCCAGAACTTGGGTACTTAATCATGTCCACAATGTTATCAGTCTAAAAATATTTTGTAAGAGGTATAACCAAGTGCCCATGTGGGATATACAATAATGTGGTAAAACACCAGTAGAATGTATTACCTTGGGCAGTCTAAGAATTACCTACAAATTGTCCACCTGATTTCTTGAATGAACTACTTTTCTATAGGTTTTGTTTTTTTTTCTAATGTTTGACTGTAACTCTTTGGTGTAGAAAGTAGGGCTGACTGTCTATTAAGACCAATAAATGCATGACAGTAGAATGAAGCCATCTGTATGTATGAGAATGCTTATCTTTATTATTTTATTTTATTTTTTGAGAATGGGGAGTACATGCATCCAGGTCTTTGAAAACAAAAATGAAAAATCAACCACTGTATGACAACATTGATTAAAAGGACCGTCAAACTGATACTCGTTTTACCCCATTTGAAATTATTTCTTCAAAAAGATCTTTAAAATAACATTAAAAATATTGCTAACAACCATAAACCGAACCATATGGTAAGACACAGGTTCTGTATTCATTTTATCTTATTTTACTTATTGTTACTTTTAATATTAGATTCAGGGGTTACATGTGCAGGTTTGTTACAATGTATTCACTTAAAAATGGTGAATCTTTATTGAGCTAATGCAATGTAGGGCAGAACTGACTGGTCATGGAGTCAACAGTGCTCTAAAGGGAAAATTTAAAGGTGACAAAAACATGAAACTATAAAAAGTAGAGAAAAAATGTATGTAAAGTTTTGGGTTGAACAGGTTTGATGCTCATTAAAAAAACTGCAATGCATTTTGGGGTTGAAAAACTTACAAAGTAATGGGTTGGGAGAGGTCTTCTAAGTCCAACCAGATAGAGTCATGCCTGTAGAGATGACGAAGAGAAACACATTTGTCAATCATCAGAGTCCACCTTTCAATTTTGTGGACAGAAAGTATTCTCTGAATCCTATTTGGCATGAGCTTTTAAAATCAATTATAAAATGTAATGAATTGTTACCAGGTCTCAGGTAAAAATTGGCCTGGGACTTGCAAAGTTTGGGGCCAGTTAACCTTTAGTTTATAAAGCTGGGAAAACCAATTCTCCCAGGTTTCTACTAGGATGTGTATCAGGTGAAATTCACCCCCAATATTTCATGTAGATTCTTTTCTATTTTCCCTAAGTGTCAGCCAGTCTGAGAAATAAAGGGAAAGAGCACAAAAGAGAGAAATTTTAAAGCTGGGTGGCTGGAGGAGACATCACATGTCGGCAGGTTCCGTGATGCCCCCCGAGCCGTAAAACCAGCAAGTTTTTATTAGTGATTTTCAAAAGGGGAGGGAGTGTACGAATAGGGTGTGGGTCACAGAAATCACATGCTTCACAAGGTAATAAGATATCATAAGGCAAATGGAGGCAGGGCAAGATCACAGGACCACAGGACTGGGGCGAAATTAGAATTGCTAATGAAGTTTCAGGCATGCATTGTCATTGGTAACATCTTATCAGGAGACAGGGTTTGAGAGCAGACAACCAGTCTGACCAAAATTTATTAGGTGGGAATTTCCTCATCCTAATAAGCCTGGGAGCGCTACAGGAGACCAGGGCTTATTTCATCCATCAGCTATGACAATAAAAGACAGCCATCCCCAAAGCGGCCATTTCAGAGGCCTCCCCTCAGGACACATTCTCTTTCTCAGGGATGTTCCTTGCTGAGAAAAAGAATTCAGCAATATTTCTCCCATTTGCTTTTGAAAGAAGAGAAATATGGCTCTGTTCTTCCTGGCTCACTGGCAGTCAGAATTTAAGGTTATCTCCCTTGTTCCCTGAACATTGCTGTTATCCTGTTCTTTTTTCAAGGTGCCCAGATTTCATATTGTTCAAACACACGTGCTCTACAATTTGTGCAGTTAACGCAATCATCACAGGGTCCTGAGGTGACATACATCCTCCTCAGTTTACGAAGATGACGGGATTAAGAGATTAAAGTAAAGACAGGCATAGGAAATCACAAGGGTATTGATTGGGGAAGTGATAAGTATCCATGAAATCTTCACAGTTTATGTTCGGAGATTGCAGTAAAGACAGACATAAGAAATTATAAAAATATTAATTTGGGGAACTAATAAATGTCCATGAAATCTTCACAATTTATGTTCTTCTGCCATGGCTTCAGCCAGTCCCTCCGTTCGGGGTCCCTGACTTCCCGCAACAGATGTGAGCTAATTTATTTTAACTTCTCCCACCAAATTCTTTCCTCCAGTATTATTTTCCAGCATCTACTCTTATTACCTGTTTTGGTGGCCAAACTCAGTCATGTGTATTATAATTTTTTGATCCCCCAAATGGAATTTATAAGATTTAAGTCTGATACCTTCTAGTTGGCTTCCCTCCATTTTCATTTTGTGTGTTACCTAAAAAGAAGTTCTTGTCAACGTAGACCCTTGGAAGCCAAATTCAAAATTTTCTGGAGCCTTCTTTAGAAGATAATCTATTGGTAGGAGGAAGTACAAACACCTCTCTTAATGTACCATGGAGGAGTTTTCCAGTGGTTCCTGGAGAGCAATCAATTACCAGGATAAGTTCAGATTTCCCAAGTACATTATACACTTCTCAGCCCCTTAACTTCTTCAGTCCAACCAGGAGTACAGATGGGCTAGTGGAAAAGTTCACCGGGTGAAGTGTTAAAGGCAGAGTGGGATCTTGTGGAGATGAACTCTGGCATAAACTCAGAAGACTCCAACTACAGAAGCCACTGATTCTTTGAATTCTGATGGATTGGATACTTTGCTTTGTTGCTGCCTTTTCTATTCCATATTTGGACAAAATTATTGCTCTCACACATCAGAATCATTGTTCCTTTCTAGTTGGTGACATCTATGGGCTGCTCAGATATTAAATATTAATGGTCAGAAAGATGTGGTATTGGAATCAAGACCAATTAACAACTCAGTTTTTTCATAGTTTAGGAATCTGTAGGAAGAAGAAAGGATGCTTCGCGAAGCCTGAAACACACACACATACACGTTCTTCTTACTCTTGCTACTAAAGGAGTTCTGGAGACCACTAGGTGTCAGTCTGCACAGATCCCTACACTGGTGGATGCAAAGGCAAGAAAGAATTCTATTCCTTGGAAAAGCTGTTCTTTCCCTTGGGAGACAAAGGCACAATACCACACACAATGAGTTTGATTTCCTCTTCCTTGCCAGAGAAAGTCTTTTATTTAGATCAGAAAGAAAACCCTCTTGGGTCCCTTCTCACATCAATCTTCTTCTTCTTCTTTTTTATTTTTTTTTGAGTTTAGAGCAAGGAAAAGCTGTTTCTTCATGAAGAAACACATGTTGAAAGCTGAAGAGTCACGTATGGGGTCTTCCTGTAGGAGTCACACCCAGTCAGGTGCAGCATCTTCTTAGATTCCTGAGCTCTTCTCAGCAGAGCAAACTTTAAGAGAAGAAGGCCACTTTCATGGTGTAATTTGAAGCTATGACTGCAAGTATTTCCCCTGCCTCAAATATCCACTCATCAGTGGGCTCTTCCTACCTGGAGTGATGTTTGCTGTTTGCACCAATGAACTCTTATCCCTGGGTTTTGTACATTATGTAAGTAAAAACATTCTTGCTTAGATGTATATGCTACATGGTGCTCCTCAAGAGCACATTAACGTTAAATCCAGTTATGTCACAATATTGTTTTAAGTTATATTATCTATATATCCCCTTGAAAGACACAGAGAGTATAGATTTGAGGGTGTATGTTTCAATTAATAAAGATAATGGGAAGAGGGACAGGTCTTGATCAAGGCAATCAAACTGGACAAGATTAGGCTATAGGAAACAGAGAGACCAATTTGATCAGGGAGCAAAGAGGGACACTATTCTCTATCCTTGCTCAAAGTTACTTATCTTTCTATCTTTATTACTCTTCTATGGGCACCCCTTTTCTCTCAACTAATTTGGAAGATCCAGAATGATCCCTATTTGGGATTATTTAATTCATTAAATTGTTGATAAAGTGCACAAAAAGGAAGGGTAATATGTGTTTTCCATGCACTGGGCACTATATTTTGTTATGCAGCAGTAGAAAACGAATGCGTCTGGTGTATCAGAAGCTGATGGAAAGTGATTTGTTTATACCTTTATGAGTTTAAACATTTTTATGGTATGTATGCATTACTTTTGTTTTATTGTATATTTTTAAAATTTATTAAACTTCAAGTGGACATAATTGAGTTGTGGTTCTCAGTTCACAGTTAATGTTACTGTTAATTGTGAAATGTCCCTATCTTATTTTTTTATTTCCTCTTCATCCTGTGTCTACTTCTCCTACCTGATAGACATCAATTTATAGATTTGTATATATGTAATATATATACAAATATATATATTTTATGCACATATATAATATATACAAATATATATATTCGTATATAAATACATACAAATATATATATTCGTATATCAATATATACGAATATATATATTTGTATTGTATATATTGATATACAAATCAAATATATTATATACTTGTTTACATATATATGCAAAGATACACATGAATCTTTATAAAATGTATAGTGGTATTGGTGGATGTGTGTGTTTTTAATATACATAAGCAAAAATTTGGCTATAAGTTTCATTCTGCTTCTGATTTTTCTGTATTAACTAGGCTTATAATATCTATTAATGTTGTCTATCATTCAACATATGCCCAGGAATGGGACTGCTGGACTGTATGTGTTATGTTACTTAATTTCACTAGGTACTAACAGATTGTTTCCTGAATGGCTGTAACACATGCTATGCCCACAGCAGTGCACAATGATTCTCCCAATACTTGTGTGATCTGACTATATGAATATTATCTTACATTAAAACCCAAGTTTATCATCACCAAAATTCATGCTCTTATTATATTTGATAGTCATGCAAGTTCTGCAGATGTTCAAAGACACATTTTTAAAGATGAAAAGTATAAATACTCAAAAGTACCACGTATTACTGTAAGAAGTTAAAAGACAGGTCATTATCTGAATATTTTTTGGTCCATTACTGTTTGTTGTTCTCCCTCCACTTCCTCTGACCTGATTGTGAGAGAAAAACAGGGGTGTGGAAAGAGATACGCTTGGAATATTGCACTGAAATATCAGGGAAACAGGCATATGTGTGTATAGACATAGACACATACACGCAACAGGGGTAAAGGAAGAGCGGCTACGAGTTTAAAGTAAAAAGAAGCAAGAGTGACATATAGTAACAAAAGAGGATGTTTTCTTTTAAACATTGAGAGTGAAGGTGGTGAGAGTAGGATATATGGAAGGGATTAAAAAATCGAAATATAAGAGATGCACAAATTTTCAGGGTACTTGTGATAGTTTGATACATTCATATAATGTGTAAAGATTTTCTTTTTTTTTCTTTTTCTTTTTTTGAGACGGAGTCTTGGTCTGTCGCCCAGGCTGGAGTGCAGTGGCGGGATATGGGCTCACTGCAAGCTCCGCCTCCCAGATTCATGCCATTCTCCTGCCTCAGCCTCCCAAGTAGCTGGGACTACAGGCACCCGCCACCACACCCGGCTAATTTTTTTTGTGTTTTTAGTAGAGACGGGGTTTCACCATGTTAGCCAGGATGGTCTCGATCTCCTGACCTCATGATCTGCCTGTCTCGGCCTCCGAAAGTGCTGGGATTACAGGCGTGAGCCACCGCGCCCGGCCTGTGTAAAGATTTTCAAATCAGGGTAACTGAGATATTCATCATCTTAAATATTTATTTTTTTCTTGATTCTAGGAACATTTGAATTATTCTTTTCTAGCTATTTTGATGGAAGGGGTTTTTAATATGAGCTTTTATGTATGTATGGTGTGAGGGGGAGGCAGAACTTCTGCTTCATTGGGTTGCTGAAGCCATCTCCATATACAGAGCTTAACATTGGAAATTTAATACATCTGCAGAGCAATAATTAGTACTGTTGTTCTTGTGTGTTTGGGGAGATGAGGAAAAGGTAGAATACAATGACTGAATTAAGTTTTAGGGTCATGTCAGCATGACCAATTTCTTCTTTGCTTTTTTCCTTTTGGGCTAAATTGTCCAGGTGTTGGAAAAGAAACTTGTAACCAGAATCTACTCAATACCAAATATTATGTTGTAATTACTAGGCATGCCAAGTTTAAATAAATATCACCAAATCTGCTTATCTGAAGCACATAAAATGTGGGCTTTTAAAAGAAATTAAGGTCTGTATAGGTTTTTCTTTCCTGAAAAATCTTGTTTAAAAACGTATTTTAAAATAGCAATTTGTCTTTTACCAATTTGATGACTGATTTAAGTGTAACTGTCTTATGTAAATCAGTAGCAAGAAGTATGCATTCTGTGTTGTAGTTAAATGATAATCCATGCTAATGGAAGGGACTGAAATTTAGATAATTGCAACCAATGACTAACCAAAGGAAAAAAAATAGTAGACACCTTTTTGAAATGCAGTTACCTAAACACACACTCGCACCTTAAAAGCAGCAGCCTGACTCTCTCAGGGATGTGGTCTCCTCTAAGTCACCTGGGGCCTAAAAATAAGGCCCATGTCCACTGTCCCCTGCATTAGTGTTGCTGTTGGAACAATAGAGGCACTAGAGGGGAAGGTTCAAGGTGGACCTGGAAGTTCACTCCGTTTCAGCTCCATCTGGTGGTTGATTCTCCCCAACTTCTTGTCATGTGACTGTCCAGATTCTATTTAAATATCTCCAAGGATTGAAAGTTCACTGCATCTCAAAATAGCCTATTCCACTTTCAGACAATAAATAGAAAGATCTAAGGTTGCTATATTTAAGCATACATTTGTACACATTTGATATCCTACAATTAGTCCTATTTTTGACCATTTGGGTAACACAGGAAAAAAAAAAATTTCTACTTATTTCTAGTGATAGCATTTGGAAGGCATCTGCCATTTCAATCCCAAAGGTTTCCCTTTGTTAAGCAAAATATTGAGATTTCACAAATCTCCTGTGTTTGAGGTTTATTCACTATCTTGATTATTATTCTCTGGACACATTTTTTTTAATGGTCCTCAAAGTGTAGCACTTAAAACCAAGGATAACACCCAAAGAATAATAAGAAACTGAGAAGAGGGGAAATCTCTCAGAATAAGACAGGGTCAGGGATGTGGGTAAGTATAAGTCTGGGATGTTAAATTGTTTTAGTGTATATTTTAAAATCCAAGATGGTTCTTATAAATAGAATGAGGTTTTTTAAAAAGGGAAAGTGATATAGGGCAGAATTAAAATGTTAAGGTCCTGAAACAAACAATGACAACAACAAAGAGAAAACTAACTATAGAAAGTGGGAATGAGGTCTTTCACAATGTCAAGGACTTTTGAGGTCTAAAGTCGTATGAAAGACCAGAAACAAGTTGGGAAGAGCAGAAGAAATCCATTAGTCTTTGACTATTCTCTCTCTCTCTGTTTTTTTTTTTTTTTTTTTTTTTTTTGAGACAGGGTCTTTCTCTGTCACCAGGCTGGAGTGGAGTGGCACTATCTCAGCTGACTGCAACCTCTGCCTCCTGGGTTCAAGTGATTCTCCTGCCTTAGCCTCCTGAGTAGCTGGGATTACAGGCATGTGCCACCATGCCCAGCTAATTTTTGTATTTATAGTAGAGACAGGGGTTCACCAGGATGGTCTTGATCCCTTGACCTCGTGATCCACCTACCTTGGCCTCCCAAAGTGCTGGGATTACAGGTGTGAGCCACCATGCCCAGCTGCTTATTATCTATTGATTGGATACGTGGAATAACCTCCTTGCTTTCACTCTGGTGTCTCTTCATCCATTTTCCACACTACAGTCAGAGGGATCTTTTCACAACTTAAATTCCTTCCATGGCTTCCCATCTTTCCTGGCTTAACTATCAATGTTCTTAATCTGACTTACTAGCCGTTGCATGATCTGCATTTTCCTCCCAGTCTTACATTGAATCACTTTCTCTTCTGCAGCCCACATTGACTCTTGTCCAGCTCTTAGAACACACCATGGTCCTCGCATTGCCATGCTCTTCTTCCCTTTGTCTAGTTAACTCCCACTTGTCATTGAAAATTCAGCTCAAATGCCATTTTCGGAGGAAAACCATCCCTGACCCTCCATTCTAGGTCAGATCCTTTTCTTAGGTGCTGTTAAATTTTTTTTCCTTTGGAGCACTCACCTCAGTTTATAATTGCATATTAGCATGATAATTAAGTTATTGTCCATGTAACAGGGGTGTGTTTAATCACTGCCCCAGCTTGAGGAAAAACCTCTTACCAAGATTGGCCATGGATTCTCTTTCCTTCCACACCTCAACCACTCCCTATATTATCAGGATCTCACCTTGCATCTGGGGTGTGTGTGGACAAGGAAGGTATTGTTCTTGCAAGATGGTTGGAAGCAGATTGATCAGTTTTTCTTAGATGGTTACAAGCTCAGATGGAAAGCTACTCTTTCTACTATCCAGTCTTCTTCCAAAGATCAGAAGTAAAGCTAACGAGGTAACTTAGTAGACAGAGGGTGGTCTAAATAGAATAAAGACAAAGGGTATTTGTCTTACAACCTACTGATGCTTTAAAACCTGAGCTACCATTGGTCAGGGGGATGGGGTGGTAGTTAAGGTAGTAAAATCTGTAACTTGATTTGACTGATTCTGATATTACTTAATTTCCTATACTTTAGACTCTCAAATACATTACTTTGTGCAAATCTATATTCCATGCAGGTATACCTGATTATCTCTGCAATCCAAATGGCTTCTGAGAACTTCCTGTCCATTCACAGGGGCCATTCTGATTCCCATATGTACAGCTTGGGATGCTCTCCTATGTCTTTTCCACTAGTGCTGATGAGAACAGGGTACAAACTCAATTCAGTTAATTTCTGTATGTTTCTGGAACTGATGGCCATATGAAAACTGAGCATTGGTGGGCCAGGGAGAGGTGGAATTGCAGGGGATTGATGGCTATGAACAGACAAATTGAGAAAACAGGTCATAGAGAATGAAAAACAAATGAATCAGGCAGGTAAAGAGAAGCAGAGATGAGAAATGAAGAAAACACCTCTTCTAGGTTCCTAATGTAGTTCTAGCTTCCAATTTCACTTCTATCTGGAAGCCTAACTGCTTTTTTGACAAACTAGCTGGAGTTAGGTTTGGTTACTTACATTCCAAAGTGCCTTAAGTGAAGCTCCTGTTCAGTTGTGTGTTGGCCTCATTTCCGACCTTTGGAGGGTGCTACGGTCTGAATGTTTGTGTTCCCTCAAAAGTCACATGGTGATACCTAATCCTCAATTGATTGTATTAAGAGGTGGGGGCCTATGGGAGGCTATTAGTCATGAGGCTGCATGAATGGGATTAATGTCTTTAAAAGAGACTCCAGAGATTCTGTTCCAAGGTGGCCAAAAAGGAACTGCTCTGGTCTGCAGCTCCCAGCGTGATAGATGCAGAAGACGGTGATTTCTGCATTTCCAACTGAGGTACCAGGTTCATCTCATTGGGACTGGTTGGACAGTGGGTGCAGCCCATGGAGGGTAAGCCGAAGCAGGGCAGGGCATTGCATCACCCAGGAAGCACAAGGGGTCAGGGGATTTCCCTTTCCTAGCCAAGGAAAGCCATAACAGACTGTACCTGGAAAATCAGGACACTCCTGCCCAAATACCACACTTTTCCAACAGGCTTAGCAAATGGCACACCAGGAGATTATATCCCACACCTGGCTTGGCGGGTCCCATGTCCACGGAGCCTTGCTCACTGCTAGTGCAGCAGTCTGAGATCGACCCGTGAGGCAGCAGCCTGGCAGGGGGAGGGTTTTCCACCATTGCTGAGGCTTGAGTAGGTAAACAAAGCGGCTGGGGAAGTTCAAACTGGGCAGAGCCCACTGCAGCTCTGCAAGGCCTGATGCTTCTGTAGATCCCACCTCTGGGGGCAGGGCATAGCTGAGCGAAAGGCAGCAGAAACTTCTGCGGAGTTAAATGACCCTGTGACCCTGTCTGACAGCTCTGAAGAGAGCAGTGGTTCTCCCAGCATGGTGTTTGAGGTCTGAGAACTGACAGACTGCCTCCTCAAGTGGGTCTCTGACCCCCGTGTAGCCTAACTGGGAGACACATCCCAGTAGGGGCTGACTGACACCTCATACAGGTGGGTGTCCCTCTGGGACGAAGCTTCCAGACAAAGGATCAGGCAGGAATATTTGCTGTTCTGCAATATTTGCTGTGCTGCAGCCTCCACTGGTGATACCTAGGCAAACAGGGTCTGAAGTGGACCTCCAGCAAACTCCAACAGACCTGCAGCTGAGGGACCTGACTGTTAGAAGGAAAACAAACAAACAGAAAGGAATAGCATCAACATCAACAAAAAGGACATCCACACCAAAACCCCATCTGTAGGTCACCAACATCAAAGACCAAGGGTAGATAAAACCATAAAGATGGGGAGAAATCAGAGCAGAAAAGCTGAAAATTCCAAAATCCAGAGTGCCTCTTCTCCTACAAAGGATTGCAGCCCTTGCCAGCAACGTAACAAAGCTAGATGGAGAATGACTTTGATGAGCTGACAGAAGTAGGCTTCAGAAAGTCAGTAATAACAAACTTCTCTGAGCTAAAGGAGGATGTTAGAACCCATCACAAAGAAGCTAAAAACCTTGAAAAAACATTAGACAAATGGCTAACTAGAATAACCAGTGTAGAGAATACCTTAAATGACCTGATGGAGCTGAAAACCATGGCACGAGAACTACATGACGCATGCACAAGCTTCAATAGCCGATTCAATCAAGTGGAAGAAAGGGTATCAGTGATTGAAGATCAAACTAATGAAATACAGTGAGAAGAGAAGTTTAGAGAAAAAAGAGAAAAAGAAATGAACAAAGCCTCCAAGAAATAAGGGACTATGTGAAAAGACCAAATCTACATTTGATTGGTGTACCTAAAAGTGACGAGGAGAATGAAACCAAGTTGGAAAACACTCTTCAGGATATTATCCAGGAGAACTTCCCCAACCTAGCAAGGCAGGCCAACATTCAAATTCAGGAAATACAGAGAACACCACAAAGATACTCCTCGAGAAGAGCAACCCCAAGGCATATAATTGTCAGATTCACCAAGGTTGAAATGAAGGAAAAAATGTTAAGGGCAGCCAGAGAGAAAGGTCGGGTTACCCACAAAGGGAAGCCCATCAGATTAACAGAGGATCTCTTGGGAGAAACTCTACAAGCCAGAAGAGAGTGGGGGCCAATATTCAACATCCTTAAAGAAAAGAATTTTCAACCCGGAATTTCATATTCAGCCAAACTAAGCTTCATAAGTGAAGGAGAAATAAAATCCTTTACAGACAAGCAAATGCTGAGAGATTTTGTCACCACCAGGCCTGCCTTACAAGAACTCCTGAAGGAAGCACTAAACATGGAAAGGAACAACCAGTACCAGCCACTGCAAAAACATGCCAATTGTAAAGACCATCGAGGCTAGGAAGAAACTGCATCAACTAACTGGCAAAATAACCAGCTAACATCATAATGACAGGATCAAATTCACATATAACAATATTAACCTTAAATGTAAATGGGCTAAATGCTCCAATTAAAAGACACAGACTGGCAAATTGGATAAAGAGTCAAGACCCATCAGTGTGCTGTATTCAGGAGACCCATCTCACGTGTAGAGACACACATAGGCTCAAAATAAAGGGATGGAGGAAGAGCTACCACAGAAACGGAAGGCAAAAAAAAAAAAAGAGCAGGTGTTGCAATCCTAGTCTCTGATAAAACAGACTTTAAACCAAAAAAGATCAAAAGAGACAAAGAAGGCCATTACATAATGGTAAAGGGATCAATTCAACAAGAAGAGCTAACTATCCTAAATATATATGCACCCAATACAGGACCACCCAGACTCATAAAGCAAGTCCTTAGAGACCTACAAAGAGACTTAGACTCCCACACAATAATAATGGGAGACTTTAACACCCTACTGTCAATATTAGACAGATCAATGAGACAGAAGGTTAACAAGGATATCCAGGACTTGAACTCAGCTCTGCACCAAGTGGACCTAATAGACATCTACAGAACTCTCCACCCCAAATCAACAGAATATACATTCTTCTCAGCACCACCCTGCACTTATTCCAAAATTGACCACGTAATTGGAAGTAAAGCACTCCTCAGCTAATGTAAAAGAACAGAAATCACAACAAACGGTCCTTCAGACCACAGTGCAATCAAATTAGAACTCAGGATTAAGAAACTCATTCAAAACCACACAGCTACATGGAAACTGAACAACCTGCTCCTGAATGACTGCTGGGTACATAACAAAATGAAGGCAGAAATAAAGATGTTCTTTGAAACCAGTGAGAACAAAGACACAATATACCAGAATCTCTGGGACACATTCAAAGCAGTGTGTAGAGGGAAATTTATAGCACTAAATGCCCATAAGAGAAAGCAGGAAAGATCTAAAATCAACACCCTAACATCACAATTAAAAGAACTAGAGAAGCAAAAGCAAACAAATTCAAAAGCTAGAAGAAGGCAAGAAATAACGAAGATCAGAGCAGAACTGAAGTAGATAGAGACAAAAAAAAACCCCTTCAAAAAAATCAATGAATCCAGGATCTGGTTTTTTGAAAAGATCAACAAAATTGATTGACTGCTAGCAAGACTAATAAGGAAGAAAAGAGAGAAGAATCAAATAGATGCAATAAAAAATGATAAAGGGGATATCACCACAGATCCCACAGAAATACAAACTGCCATCAGAAAATACTATAAACACCTCTATGCAAATAAACTGGAAAATCTAGAAGAAATGGATAAATTCCTGGACACATACACCCTCCCAAGACTAAACAAGGAAGAAGTTGAATCTCTGACTAGACCAATAACAGGCTCTGAAATTGAGGCCATAAATAATATACCAACCAAAAAAAGTCCAGGACCAGACAGATTCACAGGCGAATTCTACCAGAATTCTGTGAAGAATGTTAATGGTAGTTTGGTGGGAATAGTATTGAATCTATAAATTATTTTGGTGAGTGTGACCATTTTCACAATATAGGTTCTTCCTGTTCACGAGGATGGAAGGTTCGTTTGTGTCCTTCCTTATTTCCTTGAGCAGTGGTTTATAGTTATCCATGAAGTGGCCCTTCACTTCCCTTGTTAGCTGTGTTCCTAGGTATTTTATCATCTTTGTAGCAATTGCAAATGGGGGTTCATTCATTATTTGGCTTTCTGCTTGGAATGCTTGTGATTTTTGCACATTGATTTTGTATCCTGACTTTGCTGAAGTTGCTTATCAGCATAAGAAGCTTTGGGGCTGAGATGATGGGGTTTTCTGATGATAGGACCATGTGATCTGCATACAGAGACAGTTTGACTTCCTCTCTTTCAATTTGAATAGGCTTTATTTATTTCTCTTGCCTGATTGCCCTGATCAGCAGAACTTCCAATTCTGTGTTGAATAGGAGTGGTGAGAGAGGGCATCCTTGTCTTGTGCTGTTTTTCAAGGGGAATGCTTTCAGCTTTTACCCATTCAGTATGATATTAGCCGTGAGGTTTTCATAAATGGCTCTTGTTATTTGAGCCAGTTTATTGAGAATTTTTAACATGAAGGGATGTTGAATTTTATCGAAGGCCTTTTCTGTGTCTATTGAGGTTATCATGTGATTTTTGTCTTTAGTTCTGTTTATGTGATGAATTACATTTATTGAATTGCAAAAGTTGAAGCAGCCTTGCATCTCAGGGATGAAGATGACTTGATCTTGGTGGATAGCTTTTTGATGAGCTGCTGGATTCAGTTTACCAGTATTTTATTGAGGATTTTTACATAAATGTTCATCAGGGATATTTGCCTGAAGTTTCCTTTTTTGTTGTTGTATTTCTGCCAGATTTTGGTATCAGGATGATACAGGCCTCATAAAATGAGTTAGGGAGGAGTCCCTCCTTTTCTTTGATTTGGAATAGTTTCAGAAGAAATGGTGCCAGCTCCTTTTTGTATCTCTGGTAGAATTCAGTTGTAAATCTCTTCGGTTCTGGGCTGTTTTTAGTTGGTAGGCTATTTATCACTGCTTCAATTTCAGAGCTTATAATGGGTCTATTCAGGGATTCAACTTCTTCCTCATTCAGTCTTGAGAGTGGGCATGTGTCCAGGAATTTATCCACTTCTTCTAGATTTTCTAGTTTATTAGTACAGAAGTATTTATGGTATTCTCTCATGATTGTTTGTATGTCTGTGGGGTCAGTGGTGATATCCCCCTTATTTCTGATTGTATCTATTTGATTCTTCTCTCTTTTCTTCTTTTTTAGTCTAGCTAGTGGTCTATCTATTTTATTATTTTTTTCAAAATCTACCTCCTGGATTCGTTGATTTTTTAAAGGTTTTTTTGTGTCTGTGTCTCCCTCAGTTCTGCTTGATCTTGGTTATTTCTCATCTTCTACTAGCTTTGGGGTTTTCTTGCTCTTGGTTCTCCAGTTGTTTTAGTTGTGATGCTAGGGGGTTGATTTGAGATCTTTCTAGCTTTTTGATGTGGGCAGTTAGTGCTTTAAATTTCCCTCTTAACACTGTTTTAGCTGCATCCCAGAGATTCTGGTACATTGTCTCTTTGTTCTCCTTGGTTTCAAAGAACTTCTTGATTTCTGCCTTAAGTTCATCATTTACCCAGGAGTCATTTCAGGAGCATATTGTTCAATTTTCATGTAGTCATGTGGTTTCGAGTGAGTTTCTTAATCTTGAGTTCTAATTTGATTGCACTGTGGTCTGAGAGACTGTTTGTTATGATTTCAGTTCTTTTGCATTTGCTGAGTAGTGTTTTACTTTCAATTATGTGATGCATTTTAGAGTAAGTGCCATATGGAGCTGAGAAGAATGTATATTCTGTTGTTTTTGGGAGGAGAGTTACATAGATATCTATCAGGTCCACTTGATCCAGAGCTGAGTTCAACTCCTGAATATCTTTGTGAATTTTCTGTCTCAATAATCTGTCTAATATTGACAGTTGGGCATTAAAGTCTCCCATTATTATTGTGTGGGAGTCTAAGTCCTTTTGTAGGTCTCTAGGAGCTTTTTTTTATGAATCTGGGTGCTACTGTATTGGGTGTATATATATTTGGGATAGTTAGCTTTTCTTGTTGAATTGAGTCCTTTACCACATGTAATGCCTTTCTTTGTGTTTTTTGATCTTTGTTAATTTAAAGTCTGTTTTGTCAGAAACTGGGATTGTAACCCCTACTTTTTTTCCTGCTTTCCATTTGGTTGGTAAATTTTCTTCCATCCCTTTATTTTGAGCCTATGTGTGTCTATGCATGTGAGATGGGTCTCATGAATACAGCACACTGATGGGTCTTAACTGTTTATCCAGATAGCCATTCTGAGTCTTTCAATTGGGGCATTTAGCTTATTTACATTTAAGGTAAATATTGTTATGTGTGAATTTGATCCTGTTATCATGATGCTACCTGGTTATTTAGCAGACTTGTTGATGTAGTTGCTTCATAGTGACATTGGTTTTTGTAGTAGGTGGTAATGGTTTTTCCATTCCATATTTAGTGCTTTCCTCAGGAGCTCTTGCAAGGCAGGCCTGATGGTAATAAATTCCCTCAAAATTTGCTTGTCTGAAAAGGATTTTATTTCTCCTTCACTTATGAAGCTTCATTTCACCAAATAAGAAATTCTGGGTTGGCAATTCTTTTCTTTAAGAATGTTGAATATTGGCTCCCAATCTCCTCTGGCTTGTAGGGTTTCTGCGGAGAGGTCTGCTGTTCATCTAATGGGTGGTCTGGCCTTTCCCTGTGGCTGCCCTTAACATTTTTTCCTTCATTTCAGCCTTGGAGAATCTGATGATTATATGTCTTGGTGTTGATCTTCTCATGGAGTATCTTACTGGGGTTCTTTGGGTTTCCTGAATTTGAATGTTGGCCTGACTTGGTAGGCTTGGTAAGTTCTCCTGGATGATATCCTGATGTATGTTTTCCAACTTGGTTCCATTCTCCTCATCTCTTGTGGTATTCCAATCAGTCATAGGTTTGGTCTTTTTATACAACCCCATATGGAGGGTTTTTTTTTTTTGGAGATGGAGTCTCTCCCTGTCACCCAGGATGGAGTGCAATGGCACAATCTCGACTCACTGCAACCTCGCCTCCTGGGTTCAAATGATTCTCCTGTCTCAGCCTCCCAAGTAGCTGCGATTACAGGCACCTGCCACCATGCCCAGCTAATTTTTGTATTTTTAGTAGAGACAGGGTTTCGCCATGGTGGCCAGGCTGGTCTCAAACTGCTGACCTCATGATCTGTCCCCCTTGGCCTTCCAAAGTGCTGGATTACAGGCATGAACCACTGCACCCAGCCGTTCTTGGAGGTTTTGTTCATTCCTTTTCATTATGTTTTCTTTAATCTTATCTGCCTGTCTTTTTTCAGCAAGATAGTCTTCAAGCTCTGAAAGTCTTTCCTCTGCTTGATCTGTTCTGCTGTTGATACTTGTGATTACATTGTGAAGTTCTCATGTTGTGTTTTTCAGCTCCATCAAGTTATTCTCTATCAACTGGTTATTCTGGTCAATTGCTCCTATAATGTTTTATCATGGTTCTTAGCTTCTTTGCATTGGGTTAGGACATGCTCCTTTTGCTTAGCAAAGTTTGTTATTACTCACCTTCTGAAGCCCACTTCTGTCAGTTCATTCATCTCAGCCTCAGCCTAGTTCTGTGGCCTTGCTGGAGAGGTGTTTCAATCATTTGGAGGAGAAGAGACACTCTGGCTTTTTGAGTTTTCAGCATTTTTTCATTGGTTCTTTCTCATCTTCATGAGTTTATCTTTGAGGCTGCTGATCTTTGGATAGAGTTTTTGTGGGGACTTTTTGTTGATGTTGTTCTTGTTGTTGCTTTCTATTTGTTTTTCTTTTAACAGTCAGGCTCTTCTTCTGTAGGGCTGCTGCGGTTTGCTGGGGGTTCATTCCAGACCCTATTCACCTGGGTCTCTCCTGCACATGGAGGTGCCACCAGTGGAGGCTGCAGAACAGCAAAGGTGTCTGCCTGCAAGGAAGACATTTTTATTCTCTCTTTAAAAATGAGAAAATGGAGGCTTGGAGAGCTTAAATGACCTGCCTATGAAAATTCAGGTGCCAGGGATAGAACCATGACTTTGGGCAACTGTTTTCACTCTTTTTGCCATATAATGATACATTCTTCCTATAATGTATAGAAAAGCGTCCAGGAAGAAGCCACAGATGAGAGGTGATACACTTTCATAAAAATATGCATGATTAGGTCAAGGTAATGGCAAGTAAAGTATCCAAAAATAATTAAGAACTATAAAACAGAAGTATAGTTTCACCCAGTGAAGTCAAGAGTGAAAGTATCAGATTAATTCCATCCAACATCTCTGGCAGAAATGAGAAATGAGACTCTCATCAATTTTAATTTAATTTAATTAAGAAATTCAACAAATACTTATTGAATGCTTGTCCGCCCCATGCCAGGTATTGTGCTTGACATTGGCGATACAAGCTGAAAACACATGGATGCAATTCCTAGTCCTAAAGGGCTCATGAACCAGAGGGGAGATATATTTATAAACAATCTCAGTATAGTCACTTAAGGGCACTGCAGAGGGTATGATATGTGCAGGGTCCAACAGTAACTTAATTGTCAATCGTGCCTGTGTAGTGAAGCTTCCACAAAAATCGAAAAGGCCAGGGAGTTTTCAGATAGCCAAACACATGGAGGCTTACACATTCACATGCTGCCAAGTCCTCAGGGACAGGAGCTCCCACACTTGGGACCCTTCCAGATCTTGCCCTGTGAATCTCTTCATCTGACCATCTGTTTGGATTCATTAAAATATCCTTTGTAGTGAACCGATAAATGTAAAAAAAGTTTGTTTTTGCTGTGGTGGGTGGGTGTGGCAGGGTGGGAAACACTGAAGATATCAATGAAAAAGTAGTGATTGGGCTGGGATGTTAAGGATGGGTAGAATTTGTTAGGTGGGCAAAGAAGTATTGTTAGCATGAAAAAAACCACTGCCTATTCTTTTTATTTTAATTTTTTTGTAGAGATGGGATCTCCATATGTTGCCTAGGCTATTCTCAAACTTTTGGCCTCAAGAGAGACTCCCAGCTCAATCTCTCAAAGTGCTGAGATTATAAGCATGAGACACCATGCCTGCCCCTGATCACTGCCTATTCTAATTGCTTCAAGAATCCATGTGAAGGGGCAGAATTTGGAATTTTCAGAGCCAGTTCCTCCACCAATATGTGAGTCAATTTTTTTTGTTTTTGAATGAACATGGACTAGAAGAGGGAGTTGAACAGCATTGGGAAGTAGTTAGTTCTAACCGTGCTATTGTAAAATTTCCTTTCCTGAACTTACCATGTATAGCTCTTCTACATGCAGGTGTGTGTGTGTGTGTGTGTGTATCTAGACTTATATTTTTCTTCCTTTTGCTATTGGAAGATGGAGTACAGTATTACTGTGACAATATGTAATTTGATAAAGCACCAATCATATTTCTGATTATATTTATTATTTTCTTACCATAATTAATCAGTATTTCATTAGTATCACATTACATATGTGATATATATAATTATTGTTTACATGTTTAACTGCTGTACCAGCTGTGTGCTTCTAGAAAATGTATTGTTTAGTTTTTTGTTAAACAGTTGTTGTTTCCAGATGGAAACATGTCATCAATATACTTTATTAGAAATTTTAATTTGGCTGTGGCATTCACTAATCAGTATATAGTCAATTAATATTTAACAATTTAAAAAAATTGCATGAATTGCACTGAAATTCCCAGTAATATCTTGTTGCATACTCTGAGCATTGCTTCAAGGAACACTTCTTCAGACAAGAAGATATGGGGTCATATAAAATATCTGGAACAATTGCATGAAATTTGTGATTTTTAGAAAGTCAGATTTTCAAGATCGGTAAGAGTATCTGATTGCAATACTGATTTAATATGACATAATTTAATAAATGCATTAATAATTGGTCACTGAAGAGCATGTTAATTGATTTGTACATTTGCCCAACACAATATAAGGCAGGCAACTACATGCATGTAGACCATGCATTGACAAAGACAGGATGTTCTCTACATGTGTCTCTATATGTGTTATGGCCTGCATAGTCCCAGTGGGAGCTATTCTTTGAAGTTATAATTGAAGTCACTGGGACATGTTATTAGCTCTTAAAGTAATTGATTTACATAAAGCCTCAGAAAAACACTGAATACCTAATGCAAACCCATAGCTGTAGTGATGTTAAATGTAAATAGCCTCTGGGAACTCAGTTCATACAGAGTTTGACACAAAATGTCACCAGGAAACTTGTGCATCTCTGATGTGGGATCATAAAAGAATAAAAACTTTAGTTGATAAATATATGGAAGACCTGAGGATACTCCATGGTCATCGCAGTTATTCTGTGAAGAGCTGATCATGTGAGAAGACTAGTTTCCTTTGGGCAATGTGTGGAAGAAGAGAGTAATACAGACAGCATATTTGGAGTCTAGTGGGTTTTATTTCATTCCACATGGCATTAACATCGGCAGGAAGTACTGATGTTATATGGAAGCACTGATGTTCATATAGTAGTACTGACTTAATGTCTATCCACCTGGGTTAACGTTGTCGGTGGATGACACTGGCTTAGCATTTTATTTTTTTAATCACTAATCTGGATAATGTAATTATGAACATTATTGTGTGTGGACAGCACCAAGATGGAAGGACTTAACACTTCACAGCTCACATACAAAGAGCAGAGCATAATCTTTTGTGTCCAAAAACCTGAGAGCAGTTGCAAATCCTCTTCAGTGACCTAACAGTAGTCTGTGGGTGATCACTAAAATGAGAAAGTACAAGGTGCTACCTTCTGTAGGACCTACTGAGTTGTTAAGAATGACCTGCATGACATTTTGTTCCAACTCAATAGATCTGTACTTAGTCAACATGTAAAGAGACAATAAAACATTGTTCAAAACTCTTGAACTTGCCCCCAAATTTCGGCTGTGTTTTGGTAAGCTATGAATATCTTTTTTCCATCGCTCTTTATTTCTTTCATAATACTTTGTCTTTGCTAGTAATTACGTATTTTTGTGTTTTGGATTTACTAGTTTTAAAAGTAGCGGGACTATGTCTTTTTAAGAAAAATGATCAAGGTATTCCAAGTATTCAACACTTAGTTTGTGTTCTGAGTTTTTTGAAGAATAAATGAGCTACATATTTACTGGCTCTTTCGCAGAAGCCTAGGATTCAGCAGGTTCTTCTTCAAGGACTCTAGTTTGAACTTGAGCCATGCTGACCACTGGGTTCAGACATGTCAGGCATGACTCATTTTTTAGATGTGGGGGAAGGCAGGTGGGAGACCAACGAGAGTCTGTGTCTATTTTGTTGGGATAACTTACATGGGAGGAAGAGCGAGGGAGGCATGGTCCCTAAGCCCTGTTTCCATGAGGGTCCTGTGAGACATAGGACATACATGATGTGTAATGTAAATACGCAAGAGACAATCACTTCTTCTTTCTAGAGCTGTTTTGGTACCTCAAGGGTTGGCATCTTTTGGGAGGGTACAGGTATCACAGGCATGAATGTCTCAATAGAGGAATGGTACCAGTGATGAAAGAGAGACACATTCGATGAAGTGGACATCAAGCAGAGGGTGAAGGAGAAGCAAGTGGCAGAAAGTGTGCATCCTAGACTGTCTCCTAATCCTGGCACATTTTTGGGCTTTCCCAGATATAAGTAGGGGAGGCTTTGACTTTTTAAAGTAAGTGGGAATAAAAGCCAATGTGCTGTGCATTATTTCTGTGTCCGTGACATTATCTGCACCCACAACTTCATGAAGTCTGGGGAAATGTAGGCAGCATTTCTGCCAGAACATTTTTTTAATGCCTTTCTAGCTCATTGGTTGGCAACCTTTTACTTAATAAGGCCAACTGACATCTTTGATGGTAACTAATTGTCTTCCAGACTTTTGGTCAAAAAGTTTTGGGTTGGAGATTCCATGAATTATGGCAAGTTTATTTCTAATTTTCCATGTTTGTTTCTTGAAGGAAGAAACAATAGCCTTGACTTTGTACTCAAGAAGAATGTAGATTCTGGGTGTGAACTCCTATCCTAGCTGGGAAACTCCAGGAGGGCAAAGTCTGTGTCTTAACTCACTTCTGTATCCTCAGTGCCTACCCAGCTCCATGTCTGGTAAACAGGAGATGTTCAGGAAATCTTTTTTTTTTTTTTTTTTTTTTGAGATGGAGTCTCGCTGTGTCGCCCAGGCTGGAGTGCAGTGGCGCAATCTCGGCGCACTGCAAGCTCCGCCTCCTGGGTTCACGCCATTCTCCTGCCTCAGCCTCCCGAGTAGCTGGGACTACAGGCGCCCCGCCACCACGCCCAGCTAATTTTTTTTGTATTTTTAGTAGAGATGGGGTTTCACCGTGTTAGCCAGGATGGTTTTGAGCTTCTGACCTCATGATCCGCCCGCCTTGGCCTCCCAAAGTGCTGGGATTACAGGCGTGAGCCACCGTGCCCAGCCAGGAAATCTTTTTGGAACAATGTTTTATTCTACTTCATAACCATCACAGGGCAGAGTACGTAGAATCATTATTTTCATGGAAAAAGAGAAATAAAAAAGCAAATGAGGGACTCAGCGGATCCCACAATGCTAGATGTCTGAATTTCTAAAAAATCATTTTCCCACATCTCTGCTCTCCACTTTAACAGCTTGATGCTCTGACTTGCTCCCACCTGTGCTCCTGAAGATTCCACCCTACCTGTCAGCTGGGTTCCTGTCAGCAGGCAATGTAGCCCATGCAGGGAACATTCTGAAACTTGCTTAGTGCCTTTTTCCTCTACATGTTATTCCTCGTACTAAGGATTTTAGGTTTAAATTGACTTGCGTGGGACACTCACTGAGATTTGTAGAGAGAAATCCCTGGCTAGAAGGCAGGGATGATACTTGAACCCTGGACCCTGCCCCTCCCCCTACTTCATTTCGCTCCCTTCACATCATTCCAGCCTGCATCTCCTGGTAATTTGATTCTTTCTGGAGGAACATCAAGAATTTAGAATATCATGAACTGCCTTTCTAATGGATGCTGTGATGTCCATCTATAATTGCGATGATAATTTCTGGAAAGAGTAAGGACTGAAATAATGACACAAAATGCCTTAGATTTCATTGGCCTAGTTAAGCCTGTAGTATCAGAATAAGGAATGTGTCGATCTCCTGCCAAAATTGTAATGGTGTCATGTTGTCACATTTTGTCAATGGGAAGGACCATCTGGGCTGTATGCTCCCTGGGAATGGAGCACACATGGGCAGGCCTCCCAGAAGGAAAACACTATTAGGAGTTGCCCGAGACTCATTGATTAACTTGGGGGAAGTTTTATCCTCTTCTTAGATGTTAGTATCCAGGCAGTGGTGCCACCCGAGTTATAGTATACACTTACCCACTCTGAGCCAAGGCTTGGGCAAAGACTGTTTTTTTGTCCTCAATGTCATAGATACATTGAAAGCTCCCTGTTACATTTTAGTTCTATTGATGTAAAATGTTTCAAATAAGAATACCATATGTAATACTTTCCTTGACCAAGATATGCAAATTAATCCAATGAATTGATGTATTCAGTTGATGCATATTTATTGAGTGCCTACTATGTGCCAGACTCTCTTCTCAGCCCTGGGAATACATGAGTGAACAAGTCTTTAAATAGCTCAGAGTTTGCCAATTCAGTTTTATGCCATTTAAGTCTCCATTGTTTTAAAGGGGTGTGTGCTCTAAGCAGGGTCTTATATTGTGGTGTTTTTTTTTTTTGAGGTGGAGTCTCACTTTGTGATGGAGTCTCACAGCAGGCTGGAGCACAGTGGTGTGATCTTGGTTCACTGCAGCCTCTGCCTCCTGGGTTCAAGTGATT
The DNA here is from genome assembly GCF_000001405.40 of Homo sapiens. NCBI lineage: Eukaryota > Metazoa > Chordata > Mammalia > Primates > Hominidae > Homo > Homo sapiens. The sequence continues at coordinate 66,862 of NW_003315908.1, forward strand.
CTCGTGTCTCAGCCTCCTGAGTAGCTAGAATTACAGGCACGTGCCACCATGCCTGGCTAATTTTTTTTTTTTTGTATTTTTTTTTTTTTTAGTAGATATGGGGTTTGGCCTCACCATGTTGACTAGGCTGGTCTCAAACTCCTGACCTCAGGTAATCCGCCTGCCTTGGCCTCCCAAAGTGCTGGGATTACAGGTGTGAGCCACTGTGCCCGGCCTTGTTTTCTATTCTCATTGTTTACTGTTTCTTTAGAAACATGACTCAATTATATTCTAGATTTTGTTTTCCTTTCTTTTCCTTTGCTTTCATTTTCTCCTCCTTCCATCTCTACCTCCGCAGCCCCTACCACCCCGCCACCATCACGCAGTGTTTGTCTAAGTGTCACAAGTACATAAAAGACAGTGAGTGGCAATTTAATAACAGAAAATTAAGGTCTTGAGATGTCACTTCCTAGTGAGGAAGTGGAGAAACAGGAAGCTAGCGGCGCAAATATACTGCCATGTAAGAAACAGAGCTCTATCTGCACTTGTTGATTTTTTTAAAGCAGTTTGGTGACCTGTAAATTCAGAAAGTATTAGGAATACACTGACTGTATTAGCTAAGTGATAAATGGTCTTAGTGATGCAGTAGCTGTTAAGTGGAAGTTCCATCAGATTCCTCTTTTCTGAGAGTCTCCTATCTTAAATCTACCTGTCAATTAACATCTACAGATGCATGCGTCTTTCTTGACAGGGAGCATGTTATACAAGAGCAGGTTGACAGGGACCAAGCCTGACTTTATTTGCAGGAGATGTCGCTTTTGTGTAGGCTTCTCCTGAGATCAGGGAGGGGCATAGCGACAATGTGCAGAATCTGAGAAACCTCCACACAATCCCTGACTCCCACAGGTGGTATGTAAAAGTAGGCTTTCCTGATTTTTGTTTTAATATATGATCCCTTTCTATTTGGGATACATGCCCCTCCTTCACTTGGTCTCTTTATTACCTCTGAAGGACATCACTGAGGCTGGGCAATTGCTCTGGAGGAAACCAGCATCAGAATGCTAGGTGGTTGAAATGGTTTGGCTTTGTACCCCACCCAAATCTCATCTTGAATCGCAATCCCCAGGTGTTGAGGGAGGGACCTGGTGGGAGGTGACTGGATCATAGTTGCAGTTTCCCCCATGCTGTTCTCATGATAGTGAGTGAGTTCTCATGAGATCTGATGGTTTTGGGGGGGCTCTTCCCCTTATGCTTCTGTCACATGCTCTCTGGCCTGCTGCCGTGTAAGACATGCCTGCTTCCACCTCCACCATGATTGTGTTTCCTGAGGCCTTCCTAGCCATGCAGAACTTTGAGGCAATTAAACCTTTCTTTATAAATTACCCAGCCTCCGGTATATCTTTATAGCAGTGTGAAAACGGACTAATACAGTGGTGGTGTTTGCCTTCTGAGGACATGTGGTCTGTGGAGGAAAGTGGTTCCCCGGGCAAGGAATTAGACTGTTCTGGATGCTGAGAGGGGCTAGAGACTCTGCCTCCTTCTTGGCCAGTGAGATCATTGCCCAAGTCCAACCTCTCAGAGTGATTCAGTTGCTGACCTGAGTTCTACAATCACTGCAACAGCCCCTGGCTTGGCAGAAGTGAAACAGGTTTTGCATACACTATTTGTGATTCTTGGTTAAATTCATGTTTCTTTAAGATCCCGTAGTTTCTTCTGTTACCGTCTTTTTCTGTCCCCATTCAGTTTGAATGCCACATCAGGGTTGGGATTGTATTAGTGTTTTCACGTTTCAACAAACACAAACTAAGTATTTTTCCAGTGTCAGTCACGAGGAAAAAAATTAGTCTTGCCAATTTTGTTTATTTACTTGTTCATTTGTCATTCATTCAGTCAAAAATATCTTTTGAGCACCTACTTTATTCCATGCATTGTTGGAGGCATAGGAATATAATAGTGAACAAACATAGACAACTTTTCCTGCACTAATATTCTGGAAGGGAGAGAGAAACAATAAACAAACAAAGACATGATATGTCATGTAGTGAGGAATGCTATGGAGAAAAATACTGCAGGAACAGGAGGGTGAGATTTCTGTGTTTTTTTTTGTGAGATGGCGTCTCACTCTGTCGCCCAGGCTGGAGTGTGGTGGCAGGAACTTGGCTCACCACAACCTCCGCTTCCTGGGCTCAAGTGATTCTCCTGCCTCAGCCTACCGAGTAGCTGGGATTACAGGCATGCACCACAATGCCTGGTTTTTTTTTTTTCTTTTTTTGGTATTTTTAGTAGAGGTGGGGTTTCACCATGTTGGCCAGGCTGGTCTCAAACTCCTAACCTCAAGTGATCCACCTCAGCCTCCCAAACTGCTGGGATTACAGGCGTGAGCCACCATGCCTGGCCAGGAGGTTGAGATTTTAAACACGGAAATCAGAGAAGACTCTTATGGGAAGGTGATATTTAACTCAAAAATGGAAAAACTAACTGTATTTCCTATTTTCCTGGAATGCATTGTCCCCAGTCTCCATGACAATGTATATCCTACCTGCCCTATAAACCAAGCCACAGTGGTTTTCAAGGTTTTACTGAAAAAATATTTGTTGTTTATCTGAAATTAAAATTTAACTGGGCCTTTTGGCTGGAACTGCCATCTTTCAGTAATTTGCCAAAGTGATGAACGTAGAGGGAAAGAGGAGAGGCACCTGATAGATGTCCTCCAGGCCTTTCAGAAAATATTGAGTTGCTCTTATAAGAAAGGTAATATTGTAGACATCAAGGGAATGGGTACTGTCCAAAAAGGAAGGCCCCACAAGTGTTACCATGGCAAAACTGGAAGAGTCTACAATACTACCCAGCATGCTGTTGGCATTTTTGTAAATAAACAAGGTAGGGGCAAGATTCTTGCCAAGAGAATTGATGTGTAGATTGTGCACGTTAAGCACTCTGAGAGTCAAGATAGCTTCCTGAAATGTGTGAAGGAAAATGATCAGAAAAACAAGGAAGCCAAAGAGAAAGGTACCTGGGTTTGACTGAAGCGCCAGCCTGCTCCATTAGAGAACACTGTGTAAGAACCAATGGGAAGGAGCCTGAGCTGCTGGAACCTCTTCCCTCTGGAGTCATTGCATAATAGACGTAAAAAAAATAAAAGACCTCTGGATGTTTCTTTTCACTGAGTAGAAGTGTGATGTCCCCTCCCCCAAATAAATCTTTAAAGCCAAAAAACAGATTTACATGTGTGTCCTGTGTTTTGTCTGGCATCCCTGGCATCCCAATGTCCCCCACTCCCAGCTGGAAATATTCCATCTCCCTTAGGAACCGCCTTGCCACCCTCTTCCTCTCTCATGGCACTGTTGGCTCCTGTGTCCTCACAGTTATATGGAGACAAATTTTATTGCTCCTGCTCTATGAAAGCAAATTCAGGTCAAACCTTACCTGATTATTTTTTTAAATTTTTCATTTTTAAGTTTTATTTTTTAAAGACAGTATCTCACACCATCACCCAGGCTGGAGTGCAGTGGCATCATCCTAGCTCACTGCAAACTGTAACTCCTGGGCTCAAGCTATCTTCCTACCTCAGCCTCCCAAGTAGGGACTACAGGCACATGCCACCAATTTTTTATGTTTCTTGTAAAGTTGGTGTCTCACTTTGTTGCCCAGGCTGTTCTCGAACTCCTGGCCTCAAGCAATCCTCTCTTCTCAGCCTCACAAGGTGCTGGGATTACAGACATGAGCCACTGCGCCCAGCCTGACTCATCTCTTTGTCTCCTCAACATGTAGCAGAGAACTGGTACTTAGTAGGTGCACCTATATTTGTTTAATGGATGCACAGGGTGCTTATATAGACTTTGAGATGAGAATGTTTGTGAAATAAGCAAGTTCTTCAGGGTCACAGCCTTTTACCTGACAGCAGAGTCATCTGCCACCTCAAGTTTGTGTTTCTCAAAATACTAAGTAGGCTAAATGTCTCAATTGTCTGCTCCCATATTCTTCTCTGTTGAAGTATCAGGTGACACCTTGCTCAGTACAAAGTATTTAGGCTGCTCTTGCAGTAAGCACACACTAACACAGTTGCTCGTTGACTGATATATATATATGCATTTGAGAGGCCTCCCAAGGCTGGGTAGAACTAGATACTCCAACACTTGGTGATTGATCTGAATCGCTAGGGTGGAGTCTCTGAGGATGTTCATCTGGTTGGAATTCCAGGGATCTTGAAGAGTTATGTAGTTCAAACCTCCCCAGATTTGCGGGGTTTCCCTCTAGATGTTTTCACCCCATTATTTGTCATCCAGCAGGTACCAAGCATTTCCGATAGCATGAACCATGTGACTTCCCAATACTCCTTGTGACTTTTAGTTCCTTTCCTCACCCATTCCACAGTCTTTGTCTTCCCAGAGTGTAGAGCTCTGGGCAAGCCAGATCAGGTTTCCATCGGTGTCCTTTCTGCAAGTGTTTCTGGGGCGGCTGCCTCGGCCCTGTGTTATCTGTCACCGCTCCATCTGCTTTCTGTCTCACAGAAATTTGCCAAAATCTATCATCCTCTGATGGCTTTCCTCCCCTCGTTTCTTGCTGTAGGTTTATACATTTTTTATCATTTAGTTTTTTTTTTTTTTAAGAGGCTGTCTGGAAGGAGACGAATTAAACATGTGAGTTTATTTTGCTATCTTGCAGAAGTCTGCAATGCAATCTTAAATATTCCATGTGACCCCTTTTTGCCTTAAAATGTCTCTTAAATCAACCACATCTAGTCATAATATTCTCACTTCCTGGGAATCATGACACTTAGGAAATCACTGTGAATCCTGCAGGAGCCAGGGGTGTGCTGGAGTGCACTCATACCAATATATGAGAGCCGATTCTGTGGATCTCTTCCTAGCTCTGCCATGTTGGTACCTTGGCATTGGCCATGTGGGAGAATTTACACCATGGAAATTGGCAAATGCTACAAATCTTGCTTCCTCCAGACCCTACACAGAGCCAGTCATCTGAGTATATTTTGTGGGAGCAAGGTTAATGTGGAATAAAATCTTTTTCCCACAACACTCGGGCACTCATCATCCCTTAGCAAAATTCCTTATTAGCCTGGCTAAGCAATCCCTTGACAGTCAGGGAGTAGAGTTGGAGAGAATGTGGTACATTTCAAGAAAGAGGAATTTTAATTGCAGAAAATCAGGTCATAAAGGCCCAGAGCACAGCAAATTTCAAGAGAGCCATTTGGAGAGAGCCATCCTAAAGAGGTATTGCTAAATGAAAGCAGGAGCAAGTGCCAATGCTAACTTCAAAATTAGCTGAGGATTTTAGAGGATGAACAAGGAGAGTGCTTGATGCAGAGACAAAAAGTCTGTTTTTTCTTCTGGAAGGAGCTGACCTTGCTGGAGCTAGGGTGAATCATTTATTTCCCCTTTTCTTCTCCCTGCAACAGGGACCTGACACATATGCTTAACTACCAGGAACAGCAGCAAGTGCAAACACCTGCTGGCACTGCTAATTACCAAACACCCCCCAGGATGAGGGCACGGGCTTAACACCTGGGCAGAGGTAGCTGACTCTGTTAGAACTAGAGAACGTTCGCTTTGCAGTTACTGCAGATATCTGGATCATTAATCAGAGAAATAGTGCTTTGTACCTGAGAAGTAAAGCCTGAGAGAGTCTTTTACTTTCGATTAGCAGGCATTTGTTACAAAAAGAACACAGACAGATTTCCTTAGCTTTTCTGTAGCAGGGAACATTGACACCTTAGAAGAGCCTGATGTGAACTCATTTGTATTTAGGTAAAATTTGTTGCCTGAAACATTAGTGAAAGGTGTACTCACCAGATTGCCTCCTCTGCAAATGATCATATAGTACTTCTTTATGATCAGGTTGTGCAGCTATTTATTTTAAACCGAGGCACTTCGCTAACGTGAGTAATGTAATGACTGTTAAAAGACTACTGAAAACACTATTTGACCATCTCCCTGATATAGTTTGGCTCTGTGTCCCCACCTAAATCTCATGTTGAATTAAGATCTTCAGTATTGGAGGAGGGGCCTAGTGGGAGGTGATTGGATCACGGGTGCAGATTTCCCTCATGTTGTTCTCCTGATAGTGAGTTCTCACAAGATCTGGTTGTTTAAAGGTGTGTAGCACTTCCCTCTTCACTCTTTCTCTCCTGTTGCCATGTGAAGATGTGCCTACTTCCCCTTTGCCTTCTGCCTTGACTGTGAGTTTCCTGAGGCCTCCCCAGCCATCCCTTCTGCACAGCCTGCAGAACTGTGAGTCAATTAAATCTCTTTTCTTTGTAAACTACCCAGTCTCAGGTAGTTCTTTACAGCAATGTGAGAACGGACTAATACATTCCCTTTCCTTTTTACTATGTCCTGCAGCCTTTTTAGTATTTCTAACTTATTTGTTGTTGGAAAATTAATAATTGCAATATTTTTTGAGTATTTTCTACACGCCATTTTACTGGGCACTGTGGTAAGAACTGCATAAAAATGAACTCATATAATCCTTATAACAACTCCATTAGAAAGGAATTGTCTCTTGTGTCCCCCGTCTCCTACAGCCAATTTACAGATGAGGAAACTGAGGCTTGGAAAGGTTAAGAGAGCTGACTAAGGCCTCTTTCCATCTATCTGGCCTGCCCATTTTGATGCTTTTGAGGGCAACATGCAGGAGAGAGCTGTCTCTTCGCACTTATCTCAGAATGGGATATTTTGGCATTCTTTCAATTTTGAGTCTCTGTCACAACTCAAGTTTTTTCCTCACTCAGCTGATTTGTGACAAGGGTCCCCTCTGCCTTCCTGGGACTATGGGTCAGGCATGTAGCCTGTGCTTTCTAGAAAGGGAACTAATGTTCTGTGGCCTGGAGCAAATGTTCACAACCAACCTGTACAGGGGACTCGTATCAAGATTATATCTGGGTTTTGAGATTAAGTGAAGTCATTGTTTTTCTGGTTCTGTGCATAAACTTTATAATTGATATTATTGTACACTGTGTTGTAAATGTTAGTAATTTTCTACTTGTCTGCACTGCAGATGTTTAAAGGATTTTTGTAGTTATTTTAGAATAAAGAAAAATGGGAAAGTCTGTGTCTTCCACTCATGAACCTGAACATAATTTCTACTTTCAAGATAATGTAAAAGGAAGTATATTTCATCTAGGCACCATGGCTAGAAAACAAAAAGCAACAACAAGAGCCCTTTGAAGACAATTAATCTTCCTCAGAGTAGTATCTCTATTGCAGACATAATCCAAAAGGGAGCTTGGTTATTTATCTGCTGCCATTTGAGGAGATAACAAAAGTTAAGATTTCTTCAAAGCAAGTGCTAATCACATAACTTTTATTTAAACATTTACAAATTAACATGAAACTATCATTCTAGGAAATTCTTGGACTTATTTGAACCTCTTTTATATTCACCAGAATTGAAGGGATTTTAAATCAAGGTGAGATAAATTGTATTGAGTACTGCTTCTCAAAATGTAAGCTAAACCACCTGCATCAGAATTAAATGGGCTGCCTATTAAAACGCAGGTTTCTAGGCCCCAACTGGACTTATTGAACCAGCATCTTTGTGTTTTGGGCCCAGGAATCTGACTTTTTAGAGAGTTTTTCAAGTGACTCCCCTCTTCCCATGCCACACACTATAATGATTGAGAGCTACTGGAATGGAGGAAAATACCTCAGCTTTATTGTCTTACAGACCTGAATCTTGGCTATGTCATTTCACAGTAGAATGACCTTGGCAAAATGCTTAACTTCTTGGTCTTCCTGTTTTCTCATTTGTAAAATGAGAATACTACTACTTTCCTATAAAGGATAGATGTCATGTATAAAAGCTGCCTGGTACAGTGCCTGGCATACTGTAAATTCTCAACACATGCAGCTATTATTACTGCTCTTTCATCACTATGGTGAAATAGCCTCTCTGGATGCCAACAGAGCTGAGAGTCTCATAATACATCATTTCATACTTTGCATCAATTAACTTTTCAAGAGGTTAACTTGAAGTGGAAGGAAGACATTGATGGAATGGAAGAATGTGTCATTCAGGAAAGCTGCGGTCACCTGTGGTTTGAGAAATGCCCTCTCCCAGAGCAGTGGTTCCTGAACCTCAGAAACCATCAGACACTCCGAGAGTACTTATTACACATGCAGATTCTGGGGCTCCACGTGGTGCTGGCCAAATCAGAGCTGTGACATGGAGACCCAGAATTTGTATATATAATAAGCTTCTAAGTTGATTCTTAGGAAGCACAGAACAATTTTGGGGAGCACAGCCTAGAGAACTAAGTGTTTTATCTCCCTGATGTTATAGAACTCTTTTCTTCCTTCCGATCCAAACACTGAATCCAGGGAATATGACTTCAATTGGCAATGGTGATACTAGTGGCAGTAGTAATAATTAGTAAAAATAATAGCTAACACTTATTGAGCCCTTTCTGTGAGCCGGGTATTGTTTTAAACTTTAGATGCATTGATTATTTAATCCTCACAGCAGTACACAAAGACAGGTGATATGATTATCTACAGAGAGAAAACAGGCAGAGTTGCCAAGTGCAGAGCAAGGCTGGGGAGCTTGTGCCCTTAACCACTAGGCTACACTGCATCGTTCTACTTAAGCAAAGAACAGATGAATTTAAGAGTCAGTTAAGATACATTGAGTTCCTTCCCTCTGCATTTCCAAAGTAAGAAGAGAGCTTTACGTCTTTAGCTTAAATGAGAATCAAGTTTTGCTAGTTAGGAGGAGGGGGAGGGTTTGCAGCCAGGTCAGCCTTCTGGGAAGCTGGTGTGGGGAAGGGACCGACCCAGGCAGACACCACAGATGTTCTGGAACAGTCTTGTCAGGTAGCTTGAACCAGATTATGGGATCATGGTTAGACAGAGGCACTAGCCTGGCCTTCTCCCCATTCACTGCAACACGCTGGCACACTGCGGGATTCACAGGGAGGGGCTGCGCGGTGTTTCCTCCCTAAGCATGACAGTGAGCGGAGAAAGCTAGCCTTAAGGCTCAGCACCGTACTCCTGCCAGGAAAGCAAGCATCTTTCTGCTTGGAATCCTCCAGGGCTTATTTGTAGGTCCTTGGAGGCTATTTCCTTTTTTTTGCCCCAGGCCCAAGACTTCATTTTTTTTTTTTTTTCTATTAAGTCACTCTCCCTTCAAAAATGGCTGGTGTTTCCATCTTCAGTGTCCCTGAAGATAAGCTTGCAAACTCTTTATTATAACAGTCTTACTAATAGTTGCTGGAGGGAACTAGGAAATGGCAGAAACCAAACCTAATGAGCACAGCCAGAATACACAGAAGTGGAGAATCAAATAGTGTTTTCAATACCGCCGATGTACCTGGGATTGTTCCTGACTCCCTTTCTCCTTCAATCAGGTTATCTTTTATTCATTTTATCTCTCCTAACCTCTACAGTTCTGGTGTACCAGAGAGGACTCCTTATCAATCTCAGTCTGTTCACTGAGCAAGCAGGCCTGGTGACTTTGCTATGTAGAATAAATGTTGTTAATACTATGTACTAAGTGCTGTTTCTAGGGCTTCTAATGCTCGCTTTCTCCAACTTGAGTGTACAGTAGAATCTCCCAGAGATTTTGGTATAATTGCTGGACCCTACCCCTGGAGTAGGTCTGCTATGGGAATGAGAATTTGCGTTTCTTTCTTTCTTTCTTTCTTTTTTTTTTTTTTTGAGACAGAGTCTCACTCTGTTGCCCAGGCTAGAGTGCAATGGCACATTCTTGACTCACTGCAGCCTCTGGTTCCTGGGTCTCCTGCCTTAGCCTCCTGAGTAGCTGGGATTACAGGTGCACTCTACCATGGCTGGCTAATTTTTGTACTTTTAGTAGAGACAGGATTTTGCCATCTTGGCCAGGCTGGTCTTCAACTCCCGACCTCAGGTGATCCTCCTGGCTTGGCCTCCCAAAATGCTTGGGATTATGGGCATATAGGCATTAGCCACTGTGCCAGGCCTTTGTCTTCTTTTTTTTTTTTTCCCAAGACAGGGTCTTGCTCTACCACCTAGGCTGAAATTCAGTGGCCTAATCATAGTTCACTGCAGCCTTGACTTCCCAGGCTCAAGTGATCCTCCCAACTCAGCCTCCCTAGCACCTGGGACTATAGGCATGTGCCACCACACCCAGCTAATTTTTGTAGAGATGGGGTTTTGCCATGTTGCCCGGTTGGTCTTGAACTCCTGGCCTCAAGCAATCCACCCGTCTTGACCTCCCAAAGTGTTGGAATTATGGGCGTGAGCCACCACGCCTGGCCTGGATAATCTGCATTTCTAACAGCTTCTTAGCTACTACTGCTGCTTCTGGTGAAGGAACTACACTTAAGAGAATCACTGCTCTGCTAAACCCAGGCATGTAGATATAACTCAGACTGAAAATCAGTCATTCCAAGGAGTAAGGGGACCAGATAAAATGCAAAATGCCTATTTAAATTTGAATTTCAGGTAAACATGAGTTTTTAATGTACAGATGTCCCGAATATTGCATGGGACATACTTATACTAAAAAATTATCTGTTGTTTATCTGAAATTCAAATTTATTGGAGTGTCTGTGTATCCTGCATATTTATTTAAGTCTGGCAACTCTATTTCAAGAGCAGATTTATGAGCCTCTTGATAGTATAATAGCTATCCTGGTGACTCAGGCTATCTTCTTTGGTATTTTCCTTCCACCTCTCTAGCTTTCAGGCTCCTAGCATGGATCTCCTAACTTTGAGATGGGTCCTTCCTGTCCCAATCTTCCACTGAGACACCCTCTGGGATCCATTATTATCCCAGGGTAACTGTAGTAGTGTCCCCTGGAGCTTAGTATGACCATGTGTCCCCAGGGGGGCATTCTTCTTCTGTATCTGAATCTTACAATACGCTTTAATAGTGAGGATTTCTGGTCGAGGCAAAAGGTGAAGCCCACAAAATACACAGTCAGCTTCCTACTTTGTGAATGCCAGGATCAGCTAAGCTGATGCACCGGAGGACTCCTTACCAAGCTCAGTCTATCCACTGAGCAAGCAGGCCTGGTGACTTTGCTATGTAGAATAAATGTTGTTAATACTATGCAGTAAGTAACTTGGCAAGTTAAAGATTGCCAAGGTAAAGATTGGAGTCTGTGTTTGCTTTTAAAATCCCAACATTTCTCCTGTAGATGCATTTCTGAAGTTTGACAAGCTTACTTGCTAGCATGCGTCAACTTCAGAATGTTTGTAAAAGTAGCAGGAGATTTTATTTGACGCTGATTATAAAAGGGATGATAACGACAAGACAAATCCTAAAATTATAGAATGGAGATCAATCTTATGAGACTTGGGTTCAATTAGAGTTTAACATCCAAGGCCCTGTCTTCTACTTCTGGTCATTTCCAAAAGGAACACTGTATTAGGACTCACAGCCCATCATCATGGTGAAGACAGCAGGGTTTGGACCTCACAATTTTCTGGAGTTAACATTTTTGTTAACTCCAGAATTTTTGGAGTTAACATTTAGAAAGACAACATAGTTCTCTTGTTTCAGATACTAATTATTCTGATTCAAAGAGCAGTATCTCGAAGTGTTTTTCCAGTAATATAGTCCTATTTCTAGCACTCTAATAAAGCTAATCAGAGCCCTGAGGCTTTATTTTTGTTTTTCTCTGAGGAATGGAATTCTGTTAAGTATTTGTGTCATAATTCTATAACCTACCATTGTTTGAGAAACAGATGTTACAGGATAATGCAGTCAAAAGCGAGAAGAAATGACTAGCTGAGAACAAATATTTATTTTTGCATGCTATGCCCATCTATCTAGTGCCTTCCCATAATGATTCGTCAATGAATGAAAAGTCAAGTAATAAATGTGTCTGTTGTTTGTGTGCAAAAATGTTATTACTAACACACCCTTAGCAGTGGCATACATTTTGAGTGTTTTTCCATTAGTCGTGATGTATTTGGTTAATGCCGCTCATAGGCTGTTGCCTGACCATACTGACAATCAGTAGCTGGCATCTGCAAAGTAGATGGCCAAGAATTTCTGGTGTTTTCTGTGGTCAAGGAAAAGTGCCAGATTTTTGCTTCTAAGGAAGAATGAGCCCATTTTCTCAACCCCGTTAACATTGTGTCTTTGCACTGCATAGCACATGCTGTAATACTACATGGCAACAGATGGGGATAGCAGAGATTTGGAGGATTTAATAAAGTTGAAAGGTTTTATGCGTTTTCTTACCAGGAAAGCCAACCTCCTCTATTCTTGCTATACACTCCATGTGCTAACTAAAGACCAAATATAGCAGCAGGAAAAACAGTAGCCAGTTAATGAGTTCTCAATTTACATTCCAAACTAATAAGCTAATTTTTTGTTTGTTTGGCTTAACAGGTTGAGCTTTATTTACAAACCATTAACCAGCCATTAATAAATGAAAGAGTTTGGATTTCATAAATATTTTTTAAATCACACAACACATTTAACATTTTAATACTCAGAAATAATGTCTGTTTTAGGCAAAATCCAAGATTTAACTGAGATCCCATTACCTGCAAATAGCCCAGACATTCTGATGCAATCCAATGGAGAACTGGTAGTGGACTTCATTTAGGTCATGACTCTGCCATTTACTAGTGTGTGACCTTGGCAAGCTACCCAAGTTCTCTTTGCCTCAGGTTCCTAATTTTTGTCAAATGGAGGCAATCGTTATTACCAACCTCATAGGAATGTTTCTAGCATTAAATGAAACAATGCTGATCAAGTGCTTAGTACAGAGTGAGCACTCAATATATATTAGCTGTAAATACAATAAAATAAGACACAATGTAAACTCCGTCCTTGGCTATGCCTTGATAAATCTCTTATTACATTTGCAATTATTGCATGAAGTAGAGACTATATTGCCTACTTGCCAAAATTCAGCCAATGATTATTTAAATTTTGGAATAAACACATTTTACATACTAGGGATTCACTGGATACCACTAGTAAATACATTAAGGGAGCACCTAATAAATTAAAGACCTCTTATATTTTAGGTCATTGTTCTAGAATAAACTTTTATCTAAAGCTGTGAAGAGACAGTACTAAATAAATATAGTTTCATTTGACTTCATTAAATATAGTTGTTTCTAATATCATTTTCTCATTTATTAATAAGCTTTAGTAATTTAAAATTCTCTTAATTGCTCTTCTCTGTAATAATATTTCAACTGACCTGGACTGTGAAATCATATATTAATTATATGCTTTACATTGAACATTTTAACACTTATTTTCAATTTCTACTTGATGAAAATGTTATGTTTTTCATATAGCATGTGCTTGAAAAGTAAGTTTTTTGCACTGCAATTTATTGAAATACAATAATCCAATGATAACAATGACATATAATTCAATACATGTACATACAATAATACAGTGCCATATTTGTAATTTGTTTTGATTGATTAAATTGATTTTACACTAATTGTTTTGGATTTGGCCTTGGCACTTTGATAACACATACATTTGTAGCTTGGTGCATTTTCTATCAGGCGAAATGAGGAGGGAGAGCCAGTGTGTCTATGGTGCTAAGAAAGGAGGATGTTTACTTGGTCGGTGTAATGTTGGATCCATCAAACAAAGGGGACCAGCTTCATTTATGCAGACTCTAACCTTTGCCTGCTATAGTCATTGCTAACATGAGGACAAAAGCTGCAGTTGGAAAGATCTGAGAAGAGAAAGCTTGAAGTGGAGGAAACTCTAGTCTTTTGAAATATATCTTATGGTTGTGAGTGTGGTGTGGTTATTTGTATGGAGAAACGTGACCAACCCATTAGACTTCAAAGTTATACTTTTACGCATTTGTCATAATTTCCCCTATCATAAGTCATGGTGTATGTAATCACTTCTAATTCCAGAGGCTGGTTATTGTTGTTGTTTTTAATTTATTTGCATCATTTATTTGGTTCATGTCATTGTTTCTAACCCTCCTTGTTGAAATCTTCCAGGAAGCAACCCTTGTTTACAAGAGGAAACAAACAAGCTTTCCTCTTATAAAAGCTCCTGTAAGTCCAACTTTCTTTTGGACATACATCCTTCAGTACATAGGGTGTATCATTCCACTGACTGTAACACCAAGGATTTTCATAATCACTTTTCACCCCTGGAATATCATATTGCAGGAAGTATTTTGAAGGTTTTGTTTTTCCCCCGTTGAAGTATTGTTTCTAAGTCTATGATTTTTGGATTTGGGCAGAAGTACCACTAAGCCCTTGGAAAACCAGTGAGTGGAAACTGTACTCTCTTTAGAGCTTTGGATTCTGTGGTTCTGGCTCTCCCTGCAGCAGGCATGGCTTGGTGACGAAGGATAGTAGTGATGGAAGAGAGTTGGACAAGTTAGATGAGGTGGCATCAGTGGTAGTATGGGTGCTTAGATCATTCAAATTGTGAAAACTTAGTGTCGATGATTTCCTGGGTGCAACCATTTTCTTTGGTGTGGCCCCCAGTTTCCATGATGATGCTGTCATGAATCACAGAGGCCCAAGAATCAACAGATAGGGGTGTGGGGAAGGAAGGGCATTGGCTAAGGGGACACACAGAACAGCAAATCTTCTGTGTCTTCTGTTTGCTCTCCCACTTTGCTTGAGGAACTTAAGAATCCCTTTGGGGGCTATTTTTGAAACTACTCTAATGTTAGGACATGCACCCCTACTCTAGTTTCCTCCTCTGTGGTCATCGATCAAGGTTTCATTTCGGTGGTTCTTTTTTCCATGAGGGACTCTGTATAAGCTATGAGTGTTCTTGAAAATCATCTCTGTAAAAGTGAAATACACATTTTCTGGTTCAATTATTCTGTGAATTGTTCTGATAAAATCAATTCCCATTTTATATCTTAAATGTTTTGCAGGACTTAGAAGAAGAGACAGAGAAGCATTGCATCATACCCAGCACATGAGCTTGGTCTTTTCCCAATATTCACAAAGGCCTGTGCTTATTGTCTTGTCTTAACTCATTTCGTCTCCTTTTGTTCAGTTAATGGCTGATGTCATGTCTCTTGGCTCTTCCTGAAAGATAAGCTGGGCTTGCATTGTTTATTTTTTTACATACTAGCACGTATCAAGTCATATTCAACAGAACTAGCATTATTAGTCACTTACTGTATATGCTTTATATACTGAGCCTTATTCAGGATACCTTTATATCTTTCCTCATTTAAATCTTGACTCAAGGATACAAGATGAACATTCCTTTCACTCTCAATAAGAGGTTCTGAAACTCAGGAAGTGTAAATAATATGTTCAAGGTTAAATATCTAATGAATGGTACACACATATTCAAAACTAATTCAATTCAACTCCTAATTTCATGTTTCTTCACTAGGCTACAGTAAAAAACTTTGAACTTTTATGGTAAAGACTCAGAACTTTGCTTTTTGAGTGCTGGATTATTTCATATATAGCTCAACACTGTTTTTATGTCATTTGGATTTCTTTCCAGATAATGTTTTCCTTCCTACACTCTCACTGAATTTCAACATTCACAAATCAAGATTCCTTTTTCTGTGGTTCAAATACATAGTATCGATTCATTCTATTTTCAGCACAGTGCAAGGCACTGTAGGGGATACAAAAATAAATGAGCTGTTGTCGAGAATCTTAGGAGCTTCCATTTTAATAGCAAAGGAGTGAGTATAAGACCTATGTGTAAATGTCCGCAATGTGGAAGCAGAATAAAAGTGCCATTATTGAGACGCAACCCGTGGTAAGGAATTCACAAGGAGGAGAAGGCAACTGCAGAAGCCTCTTATCTGTGGATCTTCGTTAAGGTTTGCCTTATTTGCTGTGGTGCTTACGAAGGGTGGGGAGCAGAGACAATGGTTGTTGGTTCCATTTAATAGTTCATTGTCATGGCTATTTTGTGCAAATGGCTTACATTTGGTGAGAAATAATAAATGCAAAAGAGAATCTAGGCAGGAATAGGACATGCAGATATTCCTTTATTTTGATGAAATTTGCTTCAGGGTATGACAGTGAAGATAACTTCTAACAGAGTGGAAAAAAAAAGCCTACCCCTCTCACCATAGTTACATTCAGTCTGACAACCAACAAGTTCTTCATTCAATTTAATGCTAAATATACGAAATTTATTGAGTCGGGAGGAACAATGATGAACTGAAGCTTATATTCTACAGACAAAATAGAATGTCTATAAAAATAAATACCCCATGGTAGGAAGTGATAAAAATCATTAGAGAAGGACAAAAAAAGTCATCGTTCTATTTGGGAGAAGGAAGAGGTTATTTTTACTAGAGGGATCAGGGAAGACTATTAGAAGGAGGTGATAGTTAATATGAATAGTCAATTTCTGTTAATTGCTAACTAACCAAATACCAGGCTTGGACTATCTTAATCATTTATTAGCTCATTTAATTCTTGCAAACACCCTGTAAGGTGGATGCTATTATTCTCTCACTTCTTCTGCCCCAATCCCCATTTTTTCAGGAAGCAAAACGAAGGCATAGAGATTAAATAGCTTGCAATAAGTGGTGCAGTTTGGCTCTAGAGTCTGGCCATTTAACCATAGAGCTCTATTCCTCACCAGACTGCATCATGGAGGTTGAATGTAAGTGGATTTCCCACACAAGCTAATAGAGCTAGTAGATAAACAGTGGGAGGAAAGGGTGAGGAAAGGATGGAGAATAAGGTCACACAATTTAGGAAGAGTGATGTACAGAGGGAAATACTTGTAAAAAATAAAAGGGAAGGTTATGTAATGCCAGAGTAGAGTCAGGTCATGGAGGACACTGATTAGCTCTTTAAAGGGGTTGTACTTTAGTATTTATTGTTGACAGTTTTTGAAAAGTCTCATCATATGACACAGGTTGGCTGCTGGAGGACTAATCTGATGTTCATATACAAGATAAATATGAAGGTTATCTAGAGGTAGCAAGACCAGTGAGGAGGTTCTAATCAATAAAAGGGAACGTGACTTTGGGTGATGGAAGTGAAGATGACAAAGAGAAATTGCAAAAGTGGCAGCGAGGAATTACACATGGAAGTCACGGAAGTGCAAAATTGTGAGATAGATTTTACTTTTTGAGAAATAGAGGGATTGAAAGAGATACTTTGAGTTTTGAGCATGGGTTATTGCAAGGATAGGGGTGTTATCAAGACAGCTTTGGAACAGAGAGGCTGTGAGGTTTGAGTAACAAATAGGTTAATTTCGCACATAGAGTGATGTAGATGAGCTGTCAGGAGGCTAATTCTTAGACAGCAAGTCTGATAATTAGTCTGATGATATTTGACTGCATTCAACAGGGTTTAACCTTTTTTACCCTAGACCAAAGCCAGAGCCTGATAGGGAAAGAGTGTACCATGAGATTTGGGATGGTGTCTATGTAGATACACAAGAGCACCCTGAATTGACAATTTCTCTGAACCTTGTGGACTTTCCCCTTTATTGGAAGATAGAACCACCCCCTCCCCTTTACTTGAAGACAATGCAGAAACCTCCAATAAAGTAGGTGCTTTATAAGACAATCCTGGCTTTCTTAGGATCTTCCCCTATTTTCTTCCTGGTCACCAGACCAATTACCAGGGCTATATCTCAGCAAGACTCAACTGGGTGGGTATTGGGACGACCAAAGGAGCAGATGGACCTGGTTCACCCAAATCAGTGAGGAGGATGACTGAGAGTGGATATGGGGGTTCTGGATCAAGGGGGGAGACTAAAGGTGGGTAATGAAGAATTGTCAATATGGGGGCATGTTCTTGTGATACAGCATTTAGCACCGTGGAAAGGAACCCAGAAGATGATTTCTAATGTATCACTGGGATAGATCAGGAGGCTTGGAAAAAGTGATGGGCCACATGAAAAGAAGTAGAGATGTCAGAACAGCCAGGGCAGACTGTGGAGAAAAGGAAAAATGAGTAGAGAGAAGCAGGCATGTAAAGAGTACTCTAATATGGGAGACTTGAACACTTGCCAGCTGACTGTCTTCCTTGGGAGGAAACACTCTGCCAAGGTCATAAGGGATACACCATGCAGAGGGGACATCAGCATTGCTAAGAAGCTTGCCTTCTTCTGTGGGCTGACAATAGGAGATACTATTTCAGAAATGAAGAATCTAGTGGCAGAGTTTGGTGCAAATAAAAAATGTGGGATTCCAAAGGAATATAAATTATTCTGTTATAAAGACACATACATGTGTATGTTCATTGCAGCGCTATTCACAGGAGCAAAGACATGGAGTCAACCTAAATCCATCAATGACAGATTGGATTAACAAAATGTGGTACATATACACCATGGAATACTATACAGCCATTAAAAAGAATGAGACCACGTTCTTTGCAGGGAAATGGATGGAGCTGAAGGCCATTATCCTTAACAAACTAATGCGGGAACAGAAAACCAAATACTGCATGTTCTCACTTATAAATGGAAGCTAAATGATGAGAACACATGGACACATAGAAGGGAATCACACACACTAGAGCCTTTTGGAGGGCGGAGATGGGAAGAGGGAGAGGATCAGGAAAAATAACTAATAGATATTAGGCTTAACACCTGGGTGATGAAATAATCTGTACAACAAACTCCCATGACACAAGTTTACCTGTGTAACCTGCACATGGACCCTTGAACTTAAAAGTTGTAAAAAGTGGAATTCTTGTTTAAAAAGTAAGAGAACACCATTTTCCTTTCTTTCATGGTCTCTTTCTTGACCTGACATTAAAAAAAATGTACCATTATAAGTGTTTCTTGGAGTGTACAATACTTGTAAGTTTAGAGTAGACCCTCGTATTAGTCAGGGTTCTCCAGAGAAACAGAACCAATAGGTTTAATTGACTGACTGATTGACTGGAATTGGTTCAAGTGATTATGAAGGCTGAGAAACCCCTTGATCTGCAGCAAGCCATAGACCCAGAAGAGCCGGTGGTATAGTTCAAGTCTGGGTACAAGTCCAAAGGCAGGAGAAGACCAAAGTTCCAACGTGAAGGCAATCAGGCAGAGAGAACAAATTCTCCCTTACTCAGCCTTTATGTTCTATTCAGTCCTTCAACAGATTGGATGAGGTCCACACACACTGGGGAGGCCAATCTGCTTTATTCAGTTTACTGAGTTAAAAGTTGATATCACCCAGAAACATCCTCACAGGCATACTCAGAATATTTTCTAATCAAATATCTGGGCAGTCTTGCACCCACTCAAGTTGACCTATAAAATTAACCATCACAGGAGCTACAAGTAGCAGGCACTCTGGATGCCTTAGTAAGATGGTTGTGTTTCAGAGAGTGGGAGTTAAACTCTACAGATTCAGGGGTTCACCAAATAACTAAGGAAGCAGTATAAAACTTGGAAAGCCTCCTCAGGTTTTGGAGGCAGCATATTTTGCACTTGTAGATACTACTCCAACCATTTTATGGGGTGATGGGAAAAACAGTTAATTTTGAGTGGGGTCCAGAGCAAGAAAGTTCTCCATAGCACATCCAGGCTGTGGCACAAGCAGACATGTTGCTTGGGCAAAATGATCTGGAAGACCTCAGAGTATTAGAGATATCTGTGGGAGACAAGGATGCTGCACTGAAGGCAGTGCCAAGCTCCAACAGGAGAGTGTGGAGTAGATCCCTAGTCTTCTGGAGCAAGTGCATGCTCTCTGCAACAGAGAACCACATATCACTTGGAAAACAGATCTTGTCATGTTATGACCCTAGCAGAAGACAGAAAGTGGTAGGCTAGAAATTCCTATCATGTGCTAGGTACCGTTAGACTCACCAAGTTGGATTCATGAATCATCTGTCATAGTATGAAAGGAGTACATCTGGTATCAGGCTTCGGAAGGAAGAGAGTACAGGTAGGTTGCAAGAACAGAAACCCAAATTCCCATGCCACCCATCACAGTTGCACCATTGCCTTCTCTCTTGTTCACATCTAGGTCTCATGGGGTTTCTTATGACCAGCTGACAGGTGAGAAAAATCCAAGCTTGGTTCATGGATGGGTTGTCCTGGCATGTTTGTAAATGTCAACATTGCTGCTGCATTGCAGCCCCATTCCAAGTGTCCCTGAAAGACAGTGGGGAAGGTAAATTTCCCAGTGGGCACAATTTTGGGCTTTATACTTGGTAATTCATTTTGTGTAGGAAGAGAAATTGCCCAAGGGAAGAATGAATGTGGACTGATGGGCAGTGGTAAATGACTTAGCTTGTTGATCATGTTCTGGAAGGAGCGAGATTAGCAGATTGGGGACAAAGAGGTCTGGGGAAGAGGCTCGTGGATGAATGTATGGAAGGAGGCAAGAGTGTGAAGATATTTGCATCATGTGTTGATATATACCAGAGAGTCTCCCTTGTGGAAGAGGCACTAAAACACCAAAATGATGACTTGGTCAGTTTATGTCAGCCATGAATATATTTTGAAGTTAGAGCCAAAAGAATTTCCTGATGGATTGGATGTGGGGTGTGATAGAGAGGAATCAGGGATAACACCAAGATTTTGGCCTGAGAAACTAGAAAAATGGAGTTACCATCAATTGAGATTTGTGGAGCAGATTTTTGCATAAAACTAAGGAGTTCAGTTTGGGACACATTGGTTTGAGATATTTATTAGCCACACAAGTGGAGCTATCAAGCAGACATTTGATATGAGTCTGAAGTTGAGAAGAAAAGAGTTCAACTTAGAGTAGAAGAGTCATGGCATGGAAAAAATCATACAAATGATCAAAGATGTCCTCTCTGATGTCATGAGAGGACCCAGGATAAGGCCTTTCTTCTTACTTAAATTGCTAACTATATCAAGAGGGGACAGAAGTGTGAGAATGTAAAGTTTTTGTCACCTTTACAATTCAGATTCTGGGCAGATTTTGCAGAGTAAGAAGGGTTGAGAGCTTGGACACTGTTTAGTTAAGACTAGTATATCAAAACTTCCAGTGCCCACCCATTTCTGATGTTCCTCTTCTGGGCACATGAGAGAAGGACACTTCCCTGCCACCCATGCAGTGGGTTCTGGCCTTTGGATAGTGAGATGACTGTGGCTTCTATGCTGAAGCATTTCATTTGTGGCATGGAACCCTCCCATGTTCTCTTCCCCTGCTGTGGTGAGTCTTGGAATGTGTGAGAGGGAGTATCATAAGGTGGAAGCAGGCAGATCCCTGAGCCATCTTTGAGCACTTGGATTGAGGATATCATCCAGACATGCATCAGACCTTTGTGTGTATCAGGCAACTGAGATTTTGGTGCTGTTTGTTATTGTGGCAAGACTGTTGGTTACAGATCTGTGGGGGGCATTTATGGAATTAAAGACCTAGTATTTAGAGTAGTGTGTGTGTTAAGAAGGGGAAGTCTAAGAAAGCCAAACATTGGCCAGGCATGGTGGCTCACACCTATAAACCCAGCCCTTTGGGAGGCCAAGGCAGGTGGATCACTTGAGGCCAGGAGTTTGAGACCAGCTTGGCCAACATGGTGAAACCCTGTCTCTACTAAAAACACACAAATTAGCTGGGCATGGTGGTGCATGCCTGTAATCCCAGCTACTCGGGAGGCTGAAGTGCCACAGGGGCAGAGCTGCCCAAGAACAAGGGAACCCACCTCTTGCAACAGCATGACCTGGATGTGAGACATGGAGTCAAAGGAGATCATTTTGGTGCTTTAAGATTTGACTGCCCTGCTGGATTTCAGACTTGTATGGGGCCTGTGGTCTCTTTGTTTTGACCAATTTCTCCCATTTGGCACAGGCTGTGTTTACCCAATGCCTGTACCCCCATTGTATCTTGCCTTTGATTTTACAGGCTCATAGGCAAAAGGGACTTGCTTTTTCTCAGATGAGACTTTGGACTGTGAACTTTTGAGTTAATGCTGAAATGAGTTAAGACTTTGGGGGACTGTTGGGCAGGCATGATTGGTTTTGAAATGTGAGGACATGAGATTTGGGAGAGGCCGAGTGGAATGATATGGTTTGGCTGTGTCCTCACCCAAATCTCATCTTGAATTGTACCCCTAAAATTCCCACGTTTCGTGGGAGGAACCTGGTGGGAGGTAATTGAATCATGGAGGCAGATCTTTCCCGTACTGTTTTTGTGATAGTGAATAAGTCTCACAATATCTGATGGTTTTAAAAATGGGAATTTGCCTGCACAAGGGCTCTCTCTCTTTGCCTGCTGCCATCCATGTAATATGTGACTTGCTCCTCCTTGCCTTCTGCCATGATTGTGAGGCTTCCCCAGACACGTGGAACTGCAAGCACATTAAACCTTTTTCTTGTATAAATTACTCAGTCTCTGGTATGTCTTTATCAGCCTCATGAAAACGGACTAATACAGCAATTGTGAATAAAACTGCTATAAACATCTGCGTGCAAGTTTTTATGTGGACATAATTTTTTTAGCTCCTTTGGGTCAATATCAATGAGCATCATTGCTAGATCACGTGGTAAGTATCGGGGGAACCAGCCCCCAGTATTTCAACGTAGGTTCTTTTTCTATTTTCCTAAGTGTCAGCCGGCCTGAGAAATAAAGGGAAAGAGTACAAAAGAGAGAAATTTTAAAGTTGGGTGTCTGGGGGAGACATCACATGTCAGCAGGTTCCCTGATGCCCCCTGAACCATAAAACCAGCAAGTTTTTATTAGTAATTTTCAAAGGGGAGGGAGTGTACGAATAGGGTGTGGGTCACAGAGATCACATACTTCAAGGGCAACAAAATATCACAAGGCAAATGGGCAGGGCAAGGTCATAAGGCCAGGGTGAAACTAGAATTACTAATGAAGGTCCATGTCCCACTGGGCACACATTGTCATTGATAAACATCTTAGCAGGAAACAGGTTTCAAGAGCAGAGAACTGGTCTGACTAGAATTCGCCAGGCTGGAATTTCCTAATCCTAGCAAGCCTGGGAGCGCTGTAGGAGGCCAGGGCGTGTTTCATCCCTTATCTGCAACTGCATAAGGCAGGCACCCCCCAGAGCGGCCATTTTAGAGGCCCCCCCGGGAATGCATTCTTTTCCCAGGGCTGTTAATTATTAATATTCCTTACTGGGGAACGGATTCAGTGATATTTCTCTTACCCGTTTTTGGTAATAAGAGAAATATGGCTCTGTCCTGCCTGGCTCCCAGGCAGTCAGACCTAATGGTTATCTCCCTTGTTCCCTGAATATTGCTGTTATCTTGTTCTTTTTTCAAGGTGCCTAGATTTCATATTGTTCAAACACACATGCTTTATGAACAATTTGTGCAGTTAACGCAATCATGACAGGGTCCTGAGGGACATACGTCCTCAGCTTACAAAGATCATGGGATTAAGAGATTAAAGTAAAGACAGGCACAGGAAGTTATAAGGGTATTGATTGGGGAAGTAATAAATGTCCATGAAATCTTCACAATTTATGTTTTTCTGTCACGGCTTCAGGGCTTCAGCAGGTCCCTCCGTTCGGGGTCCCTGACTTCTCGCAACATGAATTCGATTAGTTTTGGGAGAAGCCACCAAACTGTCTTCCAAAGTGGCCATATCATTTTCTACTTCCATCAGCAATGAATGAGAGTTTCTGTTGTTCCACATCCTCAACAGCATTTGGTGTTATCAGTGTTTTGAATTTTGGCCATTCTAATAGGTGTATAGGGATATCTCGTTGTTTTAATTTGTGTCTCCCTGATGACATATGCTGTGAGGCATGTTTTCATAAGCTTATTTGCCATCTGTACATCGTATTTGGTGAGGTGTCTGTTCAGGATCTTTAACCCATTTTTAATTGGATTGTTTGTTTTCTTATTGTTGAGTTTATGAATTCTTTGTATATTTTGGATAATAGTTATTTATCAGATATGTGTTTTGCAAATATTTTCTCCCAGCTGGTGGCTGTTTTCTCATTCTCTAGATTATGTGTTTTGCAGAGCAGAAGTTTTACATTTTAATAAGTCCTGCTTATCAGTTATTTTTTTCATGGATTGTACCTTTGTGCTGTATCTAAAAGGTCATTACCATATCCAGGGTTACCTAGGTTTTCTCCTATGTTATCTTCTAAGCGTTTTATAGTTTTGTGATTTATAATTAGGCCTACCTTCCATTTTGAGTTAATGTTTGTGAAGGATGTATTCTTTTCAGTTTTTATTTTAGTTTATATGTTGTTTCTCTTCTTTTCCTTTATGCTGCTGTAGAGAACCATGAGACTTATTTTGTTGACATAAATCTATAAATATTTACAACCTACTTTCACGAGTTTTCATAAACCAGGTGATTAGAGGAAACCCCTGCATGGCTTAAAGATACCACTCAGAGTGAAAGTTTGCTTATTGAACAATTAACAATTAAACCACAGATGGTTAATGGTGTTTCCAGTGTACTTAACTAACATTTATTAATGACAATAATGGACTTATGTTTTAAAAGCTTGTCAGTTAGATTTATACTATACCACACACATCTCTATCTCAGTCCTTTTTGCCCTTGGTGAGTCAGGCCTGAGAATAAAAATCTGTGTGCATTTGGTGGAAGAAATAATTTTATGATGCATGGTTTCACTTGTGTGGTGTCTTATGCTCATTTGTCATTTGTCTTCCTGAAATGCCCTGTAGGGAATATACCAGTGAGGTTTGGATTAAATAAGTTAAGTATACAGCACTCTGTGGAGTTCATAGTTGATGCTTGGTGAATATTGGTCCGTGTTCAATTCACATAAAAGCTTAGCAAAAGCAATAAAATAACAACCACCACAATATCTAGAAACAACAACAAATAACAAAATCTACTGATTACATTTAAATGGAAAAAGAATTCTGGCACCAAGCTAAAGAATGAAAGTATCACACAGTGTGATGGTTAATTTTATGTTAGTTTGATTGGGTCATGAGATGCTCAGCTATTTGGTCAGACATTATTCTGGGTGTTTCTTTGAGGGTGTTTTTGGATGAGATTAACCCTGGAATTGGTAGACTGAGTAAAGCAGATTGTCCTCCCTAATGTGAGTGGGCCTCATCTAATCAGTTGAAGGCTTGACTAGTTTGAGAAGGCTGACCCTCCCTCAAACAAGACAGAATTATTCCTGTCTGACACCTTCAAACTAGGGTATCAATTTTTTTTATTTTCCTGCCTTTAGACTCAAAATGAAATACTGGCTTTTCCTCGGTCTTGAGCCTGCTGCTGCTAAGAACTATATCATTGGCTTTCTTGGTTCTCAGGCTTTCAGACAGGCTGAAACACCATCGACTCTCCTGAGTCAGTCTCCAGCTTGCTGACTCACCCTGAAGATCTTGGGACTTGCCTGCCTCCATAACCACATGAGTCAATTCTTTATTACAAATCTCTTTACATATATCCTGTTGGTCCTGTTTCTCTAGAGAACCTGGCTAATACACATGGGCTTGCCAGTCTTTCAACGCTAATAGCTATATTTTCTTTGAAATCTATAAAATTGGCCAAATGATAATTAAAGAAAGCTCATTACCAAGCAAATACAAAAAAGCTATTCACCTTTGAAAGATAGCATTTTTGTTACAGAAACCAGGGAAAAGGACTTAGGAAACTAATGAAAAAACATTAAAATGCAAATTACTAC
Organism: Homo sapiens; assembly: GCF_000001405.40. Taxonomy (NCBI): domain Eukaryota; kingdom Metazoa; phylum Chordata; class Mammalia; order Primates; family Hominidae; genus Homo; species Homo sapiens. Next base: position 92,310 of record NW_003315908.1, read on the forward strand.
AGCTAATTGGTTATGTCTTCAAACACATTCTGAATTATTAATTCATAAAAGGATAAATATCTCTAAATATCAGATAAGGAAAATGATTATCTACCACCCGACCATGATTAGCATTAAGATGATAATGTTCCATTTTCCTTAGTGAAATTGTATTAAAATTTTTGTTGCGGGGAAAAGAGGAAGAACCAAAGAATTCAAATTTTCTCCAGAGTTCTAAACTCTTCTGCTGAATAGTTAGTTACATGTTCAATTCCCAGTTGCTGTATGCAGTTAATAAAGAACCAAACTGAAGGCACACATATTAGACTGCAATTTCCAAGAGGCTGGGTGTTATTACTTCTGCTTTATTCACAGTGGCATTCCAAGCACTTTTTAAAAACTAAAGGTGCTATTTATTTCAGAGCAAATTTAGGTTCACAGCAAGATTTAGAGGAAGGTACAGAGATTTCCCATATACCCCCTGCCCCACTTCTCCCCATTATTCACAGTCTTCTGCATTATCAATATCCCCACCAGAATGGTACAGTTATTATAACTGATGAACCTACATTGACACATCATTGTCACTCAAAGTCTATAGTTCACATTAAGGATCACTCTTTCTGTTGTATGTTCTATGAGCTTGGACAAATGTACGATGACATGTATCCACCATTATAGTATCATAGAGTGTTTTTACTGTCTTAAAAATTTTCTGTACTCCACCTGTTGATTTTCCCTCTCTATAATTCCTGGCAACCACCGATCTTTGTACTGACTCTATAGTTTTGCCAAGCATTTTTCAATGTCTGGCACAGGGCCATTCACACTGCACTTATTAAGGTAATCAGTGATTTCTACCTTGACAAATCAATGGCAAGTTCTCATTCTACTTCATACCTGGCACAGTTAACCATCCTCTCCTTTTTGAAATGCCGCCTTCTTTGGGCTTCTTACTTACCTTCTTTCATCTTCACTGGATATTTTTCCTTAATCTCTGCCTCCTTCACCTCTTTTTAACATGTGTAGGACCCCAGGGCTTGATCTTTCATTTTTTTCCTTTGGTGATATCACCTAACCTCATGGTTTTAAATACTATCTAGATGTGGTTTGGTGATATCACCTAATCCCATGGTTTTAAATACTATCTAGACTTCAGGATTTTTTCTCCTGATCTGATCTTTGCCTTGAACTCCAGACTTGCACAGAAAGCCCTCACTTAACATTGTCAATAGGTTCTTGGAAAGTGCAGCTTTAAGCAAAACAATGCCTAATGAAAATAATTTTACCATAAGTTAATTGGTGTAAACAAGAGTTAAGTTCCTATGACATATTTCTGGTCACAAAACCATCACCAAACTTCCAAATAAAGACCAAGACACTTCTAATATTAAGTATTGAGATAAATATGAGCTATACATACATTACAGAAAGATTAATAAGACAAGTAAGATAATTATTTACCCACTTATTCCAGTTGAGGATCGCTGGTGGCTGGATCCTATCCCAGCAGCTCCAGGTGCAAGATGGGAGCGAAACCTGGACAGCTGCCCTTCCATTGCAGGGCACACTCAAACACACACACACTCACTCACTCAGACTTGGGACCATAGAGATACGCCGATTCACCTGCCATGCACATCTTTGGGATGTAGGTGGCAACTGGAGTACCCAGAGAAAACCCATGCAGAAATGGGGAGAACATGCAATCTCCACACACACAGTGGCCCTGGCTGGGAATCACATTTTTTTCTCATTAATTTTAAAATGAAACAACATTGGATGAAAAGACATATTTGAGGACCTGCTGGATATACTTTTTTCTCCCAGCTTTATTAAAGTCAAATAAAAATTTTATATATATATATAAAATCAACATCTCCCCATTTCTCTCACCTCCCAGCCCCTGGTAATGCTGTTTCTATAAGTTTAACTTATGTAAATGTTCTATTCTGTTTCCATAAGTTCAACTTTTTACGTTACACATATGAAGGAGAACTTGCAATATCTGTCCCTCTGTGCTTGGCTTATTTCACTTAGCATAATGTCCTCTAGGTTCACCCATTTTGTTGCCAGTGGCAGAATTTCCTTCTTTCTTGAGGCTGAATAATATTCCATTGTGTATATACACCCATTTTCTTTATTCTTTCATCCATTGATGAACACTTAGGTTGACTTTGTATCTTGGCTATTGTGAATAATGTTGCAATGAACATGGGGGTGTAGATATCTCTTCAAGATACTGATTTCATTTCCTTTGGCTATAGAACCAGAAATGGAATTGCTGGATCATAGAATGGTTCTATTAATCATTTGAGGAGCCTCCATATTGTTTTCTGTAATAGCTGTACCAATTTACTTCCCACCAACATGGGTTTCCTTTTCTCCACATCATTGTCAATACTTGTTGTCTTTTGTGTAGTCTTCTATACTTAGCTGCTGAATCAACACTGCTTGTTAGGTATCCAGTAGAATCTCAAAATCAACATGCAATGAGACGGACAAATCTCAGAAGCATTATGCTAAGTAAAAGAAGCCAGAAGATTGCATACTGTATACTGTAAGATTTTATTTATTTGACATTCTTTATGATTCCATTTATATGACAGAATTATAATGTTTTCCAGTGGCTTGTGATTGACTGCAAAAGGGCATGAGGCAACTTTTTAGAGTGATGGAAATATTCTATATTTTAATTATGATGGTGGGGTGTTGGTTACCTGACTCTATACATTTGCTAAAACTTATTAACTGTATCCTTAAAGTGAGTGCTTTGTGTGTGTGGGCAAAGGATTCTTTAATAAACTGGACTTAAGAGCATCCTCAGATGTCTTCTCATTGCAGTTAAGATGAAATCAAAATACTTATCATTTTCTTCAGCCATTTATATATTTTTTGTTACTTGATGTAACTAAAATCATTCTCATTTCCATGCCTTTACCCCAATTCTTCTGTCTACCTGGAAATTTCTTTCTCTAAGTATTTGAATGGCTAACTATATTGATTTCAGAAGCCAATTTCTCAGAGAAACTTTTTCTGTCTTTGATGCCTAAAGTGGGTCTTCCCTCTCCTTCAAGTCAAACTGTATCTCATTATTCGGTTTTATGCACTTAGCAATACTTGAATAGTCTTACAAATGTATTTATTTGCTTCCTTGTTTATTTCTTCTCTGTCATCAGCAGTCTGCAAATTTCTGGAGGAAATGGAAACTTTCAATTGGATACACTGTTGAGTCTCCCAAGCTAAGGCCAGTGCCTGGCGTACTGCAGGCATTGAGTGAATAAATAAATGCGTAGCAGGAACTTAATAAATGTTTGTCGACTGGCTAAATGATTGAACCTGAAGCCACAATTGCAAAATACTGCCACTTCATGTTTAATTGGAATGTTATGGTACAAAGAATGTAGAACAGTGATGCTAATGGAATATGTACTTAAAATATATACATCCATCAACAGGCATTTATTAAGGGCTTTCCCTGTGAATGGCACTGAGCTATATGTGGCAGTCACTTATTTTGAAGGAAACATTCTGTCAATCATTTTCATCCAGTCGTTCAAACTTTTCAAACGAATAGTTTTTAAGGAAAAGTCTTCTTAGTTCTAACTTCTGCAAGAAACCTGTGGAAAGTGTGGAAGTAAGTTATTTTAGTCATTTTTTTTCTTGTTCTTAAACTTGTTGTTAGAAGTGTTTGAAATCTTTGCTAGATTTGAGAAATTCTGAAACCAAATGTCGTTTTCTCTATCAAATTACAATTGGCATAGTAAAAATACACTATTTTGGGCAAATAGGTAATTCTAAAAAATGGTAATGTTGCCAACTCTATTTCCAGGAACTGAAAAATGTGGCCCTGTGCAAGTAACTGGGCAGTAAGTAATCACTCCACTGGCATATAACCAGGTGATTCTTTCGATATATGCTTATTAGAATACATCACAAATTAAATCTGAAGACATATTTTTATGTGTAAACAAATTTGAAGCCAGAGTAGAATGTTCTATGGGAACATAGCTGCATGAATAGTACTTAAAGAGAGTAGTTAAATCACCAGCAGAATCTTCCCTCTTGACACACACACATGTACACACAGTAGAAAACATAACTGTTTTTTTTTTTTTTGAGATGGGATCTTGTTCTGTTGCCCAGGCTGGAGTGCAGTGGTGCGATCATGGCTCACTGCAGCCTTGACCTTCTGGGCTTAAGTGATTCTCCCTCCTCAACCTCCTGAGCATGTGGGACTAGAGGCGTGTGCCACCATACCAGGCTAATTTTTTTTTTTTTGTTATATTTTTTGTAAAGCTGGTGTTTCGCCATGTTGGCCAGGCTGGTCTCAAACTCCTGAGCTCCAGCGATCCGCCCGCCTCGGCCTCCCAAAGTGCTAAGATTACAGGAGTGAGCAACCGTGCCTGGCTGAACTCTTCTTTATGATAGCTGTGGTCTAGTATTTACTCTTGGGCCTTATATTACTTCTTTATTTTTGTTTTATTTTATTTCATTTTTGATGCGCATATTAAGCCAAACAGATCAAGAAGAGAAAAGTGTCTTCCAAGAGTTCAGGGTTGCAATGCACTGAGCCCAAATGACTCATTGCAGGAACATCACTCCCTTCTGGAAGGAGACAGTGAGGTGGAAGCAGGTGAGGGCAAAGTGTAGAGGTGCAAGGGGTTCAGTGATGCTGACTGTCTGGCATTTTTGCTCCAGATCTTCTAACTCCCCTTCTCAAAAGTGAATAACACATACTTAGTGACAGTGACAGTCAAACGTTTCTGATAATTGTGTCTTCTAAAGTAGCACCAGTTCAAAGGAAGTAACAGTAATTGAGCAACTTCACTTATCAAATGATGGTATGTCAATTAGAGGCTTAAAAGTGTCAAATCTGAATCTTCAGTGTTTTGCTGTAATTCACATTATGCTGTTTACTATAGAGTCTAGGATTTAGCTTTATTTAGTATCATTTGAAGAGAAACAAGCGCATTATTTTATTTAATAATTAACATGATTATTTTGAAGTTGATTGACCTGTATAATTTCCTGTTCCTTCTTTCTTCAATGATGAAATAGCATTTACTACGTAGTTTATATTGAACCCTCTACACAGGGTATTTTAAAGATTCTGATGTCTAATGTTCTTGGATCTAAAAATTGTAATAAAACAGTGGTGCTTTTGCTATGCCTTCCAATAATCATCACTGGCCTCCTGGACTCTTACAATTATCAAGACAAAGGCTGAGAAAAATAGTGAAAACCCCTGCCATTATTTTCAATGGCATCCCAGAACAGGCACTGGTTTGTTAGGCCACCTCTATGGAGTAGGATTTACTTACTCATTTTGCTTCTTGACTTTGGAGATGTAACTGTAACTCTGGATTTACAAAGAAAACTTAGGCATATTTGAAAGTAACTGAAGTGACACTAGAGAATGAGAACCATGAACAAAATCCTATTCATTTGTCTCAAAAGAAGAATAACTATAACAACAGGATAAAGAACATAATAAAAACAGGTACTACTTGCTGTCCACTTACCAGAGTATGGGCTTTCAAATAACTGCATGTAATTTTCACAGCATGTGAAGTAAGCGCTACTGAGACACAGGATGGTTAGTTTCCTGTTTCCAGGATCAAATAGAAAGCACCAGAGCCAGGATCTGAGCCAACTCTCTCTGCTCAGTGCACTCAGTCCACCACACTACAATACCTCCACTTCAGGATACTTGTATATGATGAACAATAATATCTTGTAACTAATATTTTTGTTTGTTTTCTGGCTGGGCTCAATTTGTGTCTTTGTTTTAGCTGGCCCTGGTCTAGAATAATCTTCAGTATGTCTTAAACCATCCTTGTCTTGTGCTGTCTTTCATGGGGCTATACCCACCTCTAGATCCAGGCCCTTATTACTAATCACAAAAAAGAAAAAAAAGATCAGGCCATTGGTATACGGTAGCTTTAAATCTACATTATAAATATACTGCTCACTAACCTGTCGAAAGGATGCAGCTCTTCTGTGATTTCTTTTTGTTATCTGCTGGTCTCTAGTATTGATAATTTACCACCCTGGGAGTGACTTCCTTTTGGGTTTTCAGATCTTGAAGCTCTGTTTCTGAGCTCTCTGCATGCTGTCTTTGTGTTCTTCATGATCGGCATTCTGCCTGCCTAGCGGGCTGGGGAGGCTTTTTTGATGGAACAGGAACTCCTAGGTTGGGTCAGAGCTGAAAGCGAATGATTGCCATTGCTCCCCTTGAGAAATGCAGTTAAAATCCTTTTCTGGGTATAGCAGCTCTTGTTTCTGTACTTGAATCATTTTATGTCCACTGGTTGTATGAGGTATACAATGAATGCTGATTTTTTAAAAATTATGAACAATCCAAACTGATTGTCTACAATTTTTCAATGAAAAGTCCCTCTTTGACTAAATCTTTCTGCGTTTTCCCTCATATTTAACAAAAAATTAAAAACTAAAAGCCCTTAAGTTTATAATGAAAATATATATCTAAGACATCATCAGAATAATCGAGATTAAATAGAAGCTGCTACAGTGTATTATATTTTACATTTCTGAAAGTCAGATCTCCTGAAAGGCATTTTTCATACATTTAATCAGATGTTTTACCCATCATAATTCAATTTAACAAATATTTTGGACTATCTGCTATCTTCTTTGTTCTGAGTTGAAAACTGGTATATGTCAAATCAGTATAAAATCATTTCCCCACTCAAGAAATTTATAATCAAATTAGAATATACTAACATACAGGTGTAAGTATGTGTGTTTAAGTATGAAACAATCAGATAAAAATCAGGACAATATATGTTTTTGTTAAATTAGCGTATCTAGACAATAAGTACAATAGGAATTCACAATATTGATATCACTTAAGATAGTTTCTTCAAGGTACTAGCCATTTTTCTAAGTTTTTCATCTCAGCGGTGAGGCTTGACTCAGTTTGGAAAAAAAAATCCTCAACAAAACAATTTTAAACTTATGGCTCTTAGGTATTTGCTATTATTGCTTTTCTTTCCATGTAATAAAGGGGCAATGTGTACCTGTATCCTCTTCTTACTCTGGAGTTACTGAGCCACTTTTTTTTTTTCCTGCAGTGTCTTCGTGCCAGTTGCATCTCATTTCTTATTTTGTTTTTCCTGACTGCATTCCACAAGGTTGACCTAAAGTCAAGTTATTTGGTTTCCTGGGAAAAATAGTATCTTTCTTACCCTTGTCACTTGGTTCTCCAGCTTCAGGTTTAAATTTTAATTGACTAATATTTGTATAGTTCCATTATGTTCCCATTTAAGGATAGCATTAGGTACCAGTATCTCTTTTCTTCAGAATATTTTTTACACATAATAATTCTAGATTTATAAGTTGCCAACATTAGTGTAATATATTTCTTGAGAAAAGACGTGGGGAAAGTTGACACAAATCTGCAAATATAATATTCAGAATGTGGACTATAATAAAAACTGAAACTGCATCCTTAGCTGAAAATTATTACTTTTGTGACAAAGTCACAGAACTCCATCTCATGCTATATTTAATGCTTTTGTGAAGAGTAAACTTTGGGGAAAAAAGAATCTGAAAGTGCACCTAGCTGGAATAATGAAAAAGGAGCATCGTATATCATGAATCAATATAAGTTTATGTTTGAGGAAAGCAAAATGACCAGCACGGACAATGAAATGTTTCAAGCACTATAAAATGTATTGAGTTCCAGAAACCAGACAATTTTGTGTAAAATGCTCTCCAGATTCATTTCCCCATGATAATAAACAGTAGAAAAAATGTGCCAAAATAAAGAAAAAATGTTTTGAGAAGCATATTAAATCAGAGAAATGATACTGTCATAATTGATTTTATAAAGACACTCAGAAAAGTAAACTTGATATATCTAGCATCAAGCTTAAAATGGCACATCCAGCTATCAGTGGTCAATGAGAAACAACTGAAAAACTGCCTCACGAAGTTTGGAAAAAGATCCCCAAATGAAACTCCTAAAAATAAACCCTGCAATCACACTGGCATATGTGATCAGTATGAGATTTCATATTGTGCACCCCTGTTTACTCTGAGAATGTGCTTCTTAATGGTTCATGTATACATCATGGCTCTGCTCAAAGTCACTCCTGCAAGAAGCCCAGAGGCTTCTATCTGGAGGCTTGATCTTTTAATCTAATTTAGATTTTTTTGTCTTGACATTTTTAACTCATATATTGATATTTTTTATTTTCTTTCCCGGAAGTCATTTTAAATCTTTGTAGAATAAGAGAAGTATTTATGAATACATTTAAACATACACAAATACACATTTTAATCAACCTGAGGAGGGTGATATGTGGACTATTGCTTTATAGTCTAAATGGTCAGAGAGATAGATGTACACCATTCAAGTTTTGCTTTATCTAGTAAAATAACTTTCTAATTGAGAATTACAAGTACAAAAACAACAAATAATTACACATGAAGTATTCATTTAGAATATTATTCGAAATAAAAAACAGATTAACAGACTATTATAAATAAGTCTATGATTTAAGGTAATAATACTAAGATTAGGTTAAATGATTTATTTGCATCTTTTGCCTTTGTTTGGGAGGTGGCTCCTCCAAATATTAGTTTTGTGATGTTAGGCAGTTTATTTAATGTAAGCCTCATTTTTTCTTATCTGAAAAATTGGGAAATTAATTATACCTACCTCATAGGATTGTTTTGAGGATTAAATAAGTTAATACTTTTAAAGGTTGGAACAGTAAGCAAATATAGACATACCTCATTTTTGCTTTATTGAGCTTCACAGATACTGCTTTTTATTTTTTTAATTGAAGGTTTGTAGCAACCCTGCATTGAGCAAGTCTATTGGCACAATTTTTCTAACAGCGTGCACTCACTTCATGTCCCTGTATCACATTTTGGTAATTCTTGCAATATTTCAATTTCATTATTATCATGTATTTTATGGTGATTTGTGATCAGTGATTTTCTTCTATTCTGTGGGTTGTTTTTTCACTTTGTTGATAGTGTTCTTCGAAGCACAAATGTTTTAAATCTTAATGAGGTGCAAATTATCTATTTTTCATTTGCTATTTAGGTTTTGCTGTTATACCTAGGAGTCTATTGTGAAACCTGAGGTCATAAAGATTTACTTTTATGTCTTCTAAGAGTTTTACAGTTTAGCTCCTGTAATTAGGTCTTTGATCTAATTTGAGTTAATTTTTATATATGGTATGAGTTAGGGGTCTAACTTATTATTTTCCATGTTGCTATCCAGTTGTGTCAGCACCATTTGTTGAAAAAACTGTTCTTTTGCCCAGTGAATTGTCTTGGTAGCCTTGTGAAAAAAAATCAATAAATGTGAGGATTTATTTCTGGACTCTAAATTCCATTGCTTATTCTTATATCAACACCATTTTATCTTGATTACTATAGTTTAGTAGTAATCCTTCTAGTACTCCCATTATGTATGTGTTGATGACTTAATATCTCATACTTTTCTGAAGCTGTTTTCATTTCTTCTTTTTTCCTTGAATTGCATAATTTTTATCAATCTATCTTCAAGGTTTCTAATTCTTTCTTCCGCCAGTTCAAATATACTATTGAGCCTCTCTCATAAATTTTTCATTTCAGTTGTGTTTTTCAACTCCAGGATTCTGACTTCCCCCCTCCCCTCTTCCTCTTCCTCCTCCTTCCTAGTAATTGTTACATCTTTATTGACATTCTTTATTTGATGTGACCTTGTGATTACACATTTCTTTACTTGTTTAATTGTGGTTTCTTTTAGTTCTTTGAAGTTATTCACAATGGCTTCTTTTAAGACTTTATCTGTTAAACTTAACATCTGGTTCCTCTCAACAGGCAGTTTCTTTTGCCTGATTTTTTCCCAGTGTGTAGGTCACGTTTTCCTGTTTCTTTGCATGTCTCATATTTTTTTTTTTTTGCTGAATCTGGACATTTTATATAATATAGCAACTCAGCACTGGTCACCCCCTTATGGGGCTTGTTATTGTTCTTTTGTTTCTTTTTTTTAAATTTAACTGACTGACTGTATTACTATAGTGGCATCTATTCTTCCCATGCAGTCCAAAGCCTTTCATGTTGCTCTTCAGGCTTGGGTGTGGTCATAGCCACTCTGGGATGACAGTAATTTTGGTAGTTGATTCATGTTTTCAACAATGCCCTGGGTATAAACTGTGTCACAGACTTACCCAATCAAATTTGATCACCTTTAAAGGGATAGTTTCTGAATTCAATGTTTGAAGGTTGTTGCTGTTGTTGTTATTGTTTGTCACAAGAGGGCTCCTCCCAGCTGTCTCTTTCCTTGGTTCTCTTAGGCAAACTAGCTAGCTGACAGCGTAGCCTGTATGTACAATGCGTCTGCCAGTCTCCTCCCAGTTGCCTTTCACCACAACTTCCACTGTTTCTTAGGGTGCTTTTAGGCCTGAATTTTTCCACACTCTCTTGATAATGAAGACAGTTTTTTTGTTGATGGGAAAGAGGCTAGGGGATATGTGTTTTTCTGCCTGCTCTCTCCCCTTAGGTAAAATCTCTGGAGTCGGGGGACAATGGTGTGCTTCTCTTTGAGTCACACTCTCACTTTAGGAGCTGAGCACTCATTGGAGGCAGACAGAGGTCTCAAGTCTTCTTGGTTTGCCTCTCCCTGTGTATGAACTCTACCTCTGAACCAGGGTAAGGGTGATTAGTGGCTCAGTATTTTCAGTGGCATCTAACACAATATAGAGCCTCTCTCCTATAAGTAGGGACTGGACAGAAGAAGGGAGCATGCACCTCTTGGCTATACTCACCTTGAACTTCAAATGAACAACAGGTAGCTGGGGAAATGATGAGAAACGCTGACACCCTGCCTTTCCTGCGAACAGAGCCCTCTGACTGGGAGCTGGGTAGGAGAGAAAACTCTGTGTTCTCAGCTGTCCCAGCCTGGAGAGAAGTTTCCATCTCACAGAGCTCGGGGGAGGAGAGGGCGGAAAGAAAGGGAAGAATAGGTCTTGGTTGAAATAACCGCGGGCTCTTGCTGTTCTTACCACATTTTAGTAGATTTTATTGAACAAATATTTCTTCATTTGATGTATGCCCTTAGGATCCTTTCCAGAGACTTTAAATGGTTGCTCTTTTTCCATAAATTTTTTTTTTTTTTTACCAATTTTTCTAGCATTAGGGAGGGGGGACTCCATGGAGCTTCTTAGGCTGTCATGCCAGAAACAGAACCCATGTATTTACTTTTACATGATATAATAAATACATGTGATAGAAATGATATTATAAACACATGTGGAATGAAACAACACATGTTCACCTATCTCTATGTGCTGTTTGTTTATACGATTCCCCTACATTCCCATCCCTCAGAGGGACCAAGTATTTTTTTCCTTTTTATTTTATTTTAATTGACAAATAGTAATTGTATACATTCATGAGGTATAGTGTGATGTTTTGATATGTGTATACATTATGGAATGATTAAATCAGGATAACTAACATGTCTATCTCTCAAATACTTTTTTTTGTGTGTGTGAGCATTTAAAATCTGCTCTCTTAGGAATTTTGAAATACACATTACATTATTGTTAATTATAGTCATCATGCTGTGCAATAGATTTTAAAAACACATTCTTCTGTCTAACTGACATCAAAGGGAACAAGTTTTGACATTTTATGTTTATTATTTCCTTTACCTTAAAATTATTTTATCAAATAATTATTCATGTGTAAAATATATATTTAATATTAATTATTTTTGAAATTACATGAAGACTTGCTTCAATGTAGCCTTCTTAGACATAATTTTTTACTCATACTATCAAGATTTTTCTACATTGCACTATGTGGCTGTAATTAATTCATTTTTACTTTTACATAGCATTTCATAGGGTGAATTGATCATATTTACAAGTGTATTCTCCTTTTGATGGGTACTGGGTTGTTCTCAGTTTTTCTTTTCAATCAGTGTTTAGCCCACTTTATTATGACCTTCATCTCTAGCATTTGACTGAAATTGGTGACAGTAAGTCATTAATTATTTCTATGTTGCCAAATCAAACAGAAACTTTTAAGTTGCTGGGAGCTGAAGGCCGGTTACATTAAGTTCTCATCTTACAAGTCTACACATTACTATTCATCTAAGTTGGCCTCTTTCTCCTTGAAAAAAATCTCATTTTCTTGACTTCCATGACACTTGTCTTCTGGCTTATCTTCTGCCTCTGATGGCTTTTTTATAACCTCTCTCGTCCTTTCCATCGTCTTTACATGGCCTCTAAATGATATTCCTGAGGGCCTGATCCTGGGAATTCTTCTCTCATTTGACTTTCACTGATTTAAGGTGGAAAAGTATCACCTTGAGGTACTTATTAAAATACAGATTCTAGGTTCCTGGCCCCAAGAGATTCTAATATAGTAGGTATTGGATTAAACACAAGAGTTTGCACTTTTAATGAGTACCCATCGCTGAGTGAATTTAGGTAGTTCTTTTAGGTAGTTCTCAGAATTTATTCTGCTGCCTCTTGTCCTGCAAAAAATTCTTTGCTTTGCTCAATTTGTGAAGTCTTTTAGCAGTTTTACAAAATGTTTATTTTTTGCAGAAATCACTGGCATGAATAACACACTTAGAAACTCCTGCATTTAAAATTGCATTTAAACAAAGCATAATAGCTGTCAAACAGACTATACTCTTTTCTATACCTTGGCAATAGTACCAACAGAGGGGCTGGCTGTGTGGCAGATCCATCCTGGTAACCACCAGGAGTGATGGAATATCTTTTATAGTCAGTGATGCTGGTCAGGCTAAACAACTCTTTGAAGCAAAGGGGACTCAAGAACCATAGCCACCTAATAAGGAAAAGTTGATTGATTAAAAAGGATTCCCCTGGTATTTATAGGTTTGGGCAGTGTGGTGTTGATGTGCAAGATGGTGCTAATAGATAGGCAGGGGTCAACAAATTAGGATCTATAGGCCATTTTAAGCATGTTTGTCTTTATGTAGCTTGGTATAAGATGCCACTGGAGAGTTTAAACATAAGGTGGAGGCAGAAGGTCCCATGATTTTAGATATACATTGGAAAAGATCGCTCTGGTTGCATGTGTGAATAAAATAAGTATGGGGTTTAATTCTGCTTATTGGTTTAAGGAGAATAATTATGAGGTTATTGTTGAAATCAGGTAGGGATGTATGTATCTGGAATCAGAGTAGTAGCATTCGAGGTGGAATTTGATTCCAGAGATAATTATTATTTACCATCAACTGGGCTTGTAATTAGACTGGATATAGTAAACGATGGAAAAATATATTTGAGGTGCTTTCAGGTTCCTGACTAATACCGTTAGATGAATAGAGGCGCTATTGACTGAGGAGTGGAAAGATATCAGAAGAAGGCCTGTTGGACCTCTGATCTTATCAACAGTGGTGTTGTTAGAGCTGAAAGATAATGACCTACATAGACAAGTCCTGTCTGGTGGTTTTCCTCTTTTAGTGGAAGGACAATGAGGAATGTTTCCTGTATAGTTCATGTTTATTCATTTCTCTTATCACTAACAGTTATTGCCACATGGAGGAAAACATAGCGCTGATAGTTGCTAGCTCCTGAAGGGATAGTGCCTTGGCTCTCTCTGGTTTCAAGTCCAAACATCCAGGGAATGAATTCATTGGCTTGACTTCCTCAGATGGCTATATCAGCAGTGTCTTTGGGAACCATGAATGGAACTGAGCGGAAAGAATGGAGGGATTGTGGGCATATTCCGCAGTAGGAGTCTACGATATGCTTGTTGAGAAGAGAGGAAAAAACATTTCCCTCTCCACAGGCCAATGCTAGTTTATTGATGTTTGCCTAATCTTGTTTCAGGTGGGACACAAGCACCCACAGTCCTTGCCTTAGCACCGTAAAGTACTGTAAAGTGCTCACATTGTGCGCTGAAATCTGGAATGAATTGTGCTTTCTGAATTAAGGCATAAATATTTTATTTTTCTACATTATGATTTCCCTTCTGTAGGGCTCCACTTCCATAAAGTTGACAAAAAAAGAAAGTTGGGTATAGTAAACATGGTAAAATGCCATCTTGTCACACCAAGCAATGCTCAGTTTGTTCTATAAGTATATGGATTTTATGTACTTAACAATTACAAGAAACCCCCAGTACTTCAGTCCCTTGTTCCATCGTTCTGTGGCCTCCCTCACTCCATCCTCTCAAATCATATTCATTTTACTTCAGGAAATGTTAAATGATTTCTTTGAGCCAGAACTGATTCACTTGGGTAATCATTCTACCATTCCACTGGGGTTAAATGAGTATAAAGATTATGATGATTCCCAAGAAGGAAAAAGAAAAAATAAATTGGTTGTGACTAAGAAGGAAAAAATTGAAACACAATTGCTGGACTAAAGACAGCTTAGGCAAAGGGGAAAAGCCAATTATCCTATGTTGAAAGATTATAGGCAATAATTTTAAAAGCTTTTCTATTTGCATAATCATTTTGCATCAGTGCAGGATTGCTTATCTCTCTTTACATGCTCATATTGATAAATTGTAAATTTTAGTTCCTATAATAGTGATGCACATAAAATATTCTCTTTTCTTCAAGTAAACACACGATTTTATGACTTTTTAAAAGGCTTATATCATTTTTTACTTTGGTTTTTAATTACTACATTGCTCATTTTTCTGTTGCACTTTGTTTTCTTGGGGAAAATCAACGTGCTGTTTGTTATACAGTAACACTGAAAATAAAGAGATTTAAAAATATCTTGTGGTTTAGAAAAAAAAGAGCAGTAGAAGGCTCACATTTTTTATGTTTCAACAACTTTGAGATTTTTCTAAATCATAGCAATTCTGTGGCTTGCACTTGTAATCCCAGTGATTCTGGAGGCTGAGTTGGGAAAGATTGCTTGAGCCCAGGAATCCGAGGCTGCAGCAATGTATGATCATGGCACCACACTCCAGCCTAGGCAACAGAGAAAGACCACATCTCATATATATAAAACATATATACTCTGTGTGTGTGTGTGTGTGTGTGTGTGTGTGTGTGTGTGTGTATGTATGTGTGTGTGTATATATATATAACATATATCAAACATATATATAACATATATAGAACATTAAAAATTACAGCAACTTCTAATTAAACATATATAATAGATATAATAACAGCTGAATAACAGAAAAAAGGAAAATCATTAGCTAGGATTATTTTGCTACTCTCATTTTATCATGGAGTATAATATAAATCTTTTCAAATGCCAGATTTAAATAAGATAAGCCATATTGCATGTGTTTTTTATCACTCTCCCATTTTTCATTCACTGTAGTTGTAGGGACATTTTGAGTCAACGTATTCTTAAAACTTTTTGAAATTATCCCTTGAGTTAGAAGCAATTTTTGAATAAGGAGGAACTTATGGACAGTTCCCTTATGTATCTTTCATAGATACTGGGAAGAGAATGATAGTGGGGAGAGTGATTCAATACTTATTTTTCTCACTGTTGATACTTTAATTCTCTCATTCATTCATCAACATTTGTTGTGCAGGTATTATGTCTCAAGGACTGAGGAAACAGCAAAGAAATGCAATCATTGCTCTTAAGGAACCCCAGCTAGTGTGAAAGAAAGAGCTACAAACCAGTTATTATACAGTGATTAATGCCATGTGGTGGGATGGAAGTACAGAGCAGCAATCTGTGGGCATTCTGGAGGATAAGGAGACCACAGTCAGCAGGAGTAGCTTGGGAGAAATGTCACTTGAACTCAACATTGAGGGATGAGTTGCTGTCCTAGTGAAATGTTAGGCGAAATCACATGTGCACAGGTGTGGAAAAGCTAAGCTCGATGGGGATAATGAGGGTGGCTTTCCATGGCTAGAATTTTGAATGCTTTTGATGCGTGTTTAAGTGAAGCTGGAGAGGAATGCAACAGCCAGAGAGTATTCTGAAGGTGACAGGAAGCAGTCTATCTGTCTTACCCATAAAACACCATTATTAACCTTTTCTTAATTTTGGGCAACTTTCTCCAAAGCAATTATCTACCTTGAAAGTCATTATAATTCAGATTTGTACAGCTTTGAATTTTCCTGATTAAGGATCAGTTCTCCATTTTACTTTGTAATGTGCAGGCTAGGCCCAAGTTTCATAACTATTTCTTTAAGTTGATAAGCCAAATACAATTCCTTTTCTTTGGTCTTAAATACCAGTGAGTGCTATTGTGAATTGATGAATCCCTGTTATTTGTGAAATTACCTCTATTGTTACCGTCTGAGAAATTACTAACAGATACACATCACGAAACACCAGGCACTTCGGCTCATTTAACTGCTTTCATTGCTATTTTATTCTTTCCCCCCATGATTACTGTCATTTTTATTTTTTTAGCTCTGTGTTAAATCACCGTCTAATTATGCATCATCACAGCAACTCATAACAGTTCAGCATCTCTTGCTCCTAAATTCTAAAAGCAACTCTTGAGTCTGGCACACAATGAAAGTATTGTCCTTTTTATTGACCTTGCTTTACCATATGGGTGCTGGAACTTTTCAGTTCCATGATTGTGGGGGGAATCTGCAAAGAGAAAACGGTGCAGAAAAGTTCACTGGTCACTTGGGTAAGGTGAGGGATAAGGAGCAAAGCAGAAGACCATCTCCCAGTTGTTGCACTGCTAAATTCAAATGACTTGACTTGTTTTCTAGTTTCTAAGCACCCTTCTAATAAAAAGGTGTTGACAACTGATGGGAAGCTGGAAGTTGAATCTTGAGTTTTTGATCAAATATGATCATTTAGGTCAAAACGCTTAGTATAGTTTCAAGTCAGTTAATTTCTGTTTCCTTACTTGTCACACGAGTAGAATCCCATTTTCCTGTCTCAAAAATTATTGCTTAGTCCTCATAGTTAGAGGCAGACTTTTCAACATGAGTTTCACAAAATGTTGCCTTTTCATGTAGTAATGATTGGAATTTGAGTTTTAGAAATTGCCCTATTGCTACTAACTAGAAATTTTCAGGTGGTAAATTTAGGGAGTGATGCAGAAAGAATATTAGTTTTGATCCTGGTGAATTTCCATGTAGAATGTGGTATCTAAGTGGAGTGGGACATGCAGGTGAGCCATTACCCTAGGGTCCCCAGTGTATTCCAGGGGCTCCACGAGCTCCTCTTTCACTTTTTATATGTTTTTATTTTGATGCCTCTATAAAAATAGTGAAGAATTTCAATACATTCATTTATAATCATAATCTCTTTTGGGATCATCACCTGTTCCCATTTATTAGCATTGCCAGGGAAAAGTGGTACATTTTTATTTTTATTTAATGAATAACCAGCTGCTTAAACAGATGTTTCATAAATTTAGAAGGTGCCCTGAACTTCATCAGTGAAAGACACCAAAATGCTATCTGCAGGTGTAACAACTGACAGAAGTACTTGGCTTTCTTGACCAGTAAATTTTTTGAAATAAGTAAATTCCAAATTACTCAACTCCCCAAATCAATAATCAATATATAATGACAGATTATAAAGGCACATCTGGTTTCCCTTTGTATTTTATCTAGAGGACCATTATTCAAAAATGGAAGGCTATAATGTGTTAGTGCTTCTATAGACCAACTTAATATATAACACATCAGTGTTAAGTATTTCAAGATGAAGAGCTAGAGGCTCAGAGATTTATCCAACTAGAAATAGCAGAGTCAAGATTCAAACTCAGGTCTCTCTGACTTCTAAGCATATGTTCGTTTCATTCCCACTGGTTTTTGTCAGCCAGGCATAGTTCCATGCAAATTTTCTTATTCTTAACATATTCTTTCATAATTATCTAAAGAGATATGTTGTTCAAGGGATTGAGAGAGGCTGTGTTAATAATCTCAGGGTACTGACATTGATTAGAAAGAAAGAACTAGAATTTGTGTAGAGGTAATAGAGACAAAGAGGATTTTTGATGTCATGTATTCTTAGGAAGGTAATATCCAGTCAGAACACATTAGGGCC
This sequence comes from Homo sapiens, assembly GCF_000001405.40. NCBI lineage: Eukaryota > Metazoa > Chordata > Mammalia > Primates > Hominidae > Homo > Homo sapiens. The sequence continues at coordinate 110,252 of NW_003315908.1, forward strand.
TGGGATCACTTTTCTGTGAAGGAAAGGGAATCTGAGATATGCTGATTGGGGTGACCAGGTAATATCAGGGGTTTCTGTCGTTTCCATAATGATTTTTATGGATTTAAAACATCCCCCCTCTTTGAGAAGAGTTCCCTATGCTAAAGGTTAGTCATTACTTTTAATGCCCAAGTCTTCCAAGTTACTCTGCATCTCTGAAGCAGTCACTAGGCTGCAATGTGTGAGATGAGAACATAGTTTACAATTTAATTTTAGAAACATCACCATCTGATTCCCAGTCAGCTTCATACTGACACTTGTTTTATTCAAGCAGTCACGAGTGTTTTGCTTTGTGAGAAGGGAAGCTTTTGTTGATGTTTCCTATATTCTAATTCATGCTATTCTCTTGAAATTAGTTAGAAAAGAAACAAAACATGGTTTTCAACTGTTTCCTTCAATTAGCTTTTTTTTCTATCAAAGCAGTTACTTTTCTGATGTTGTCCTGATTATTGCATGGAACCAGGTAACTCTGTTTTCCCATTTGCCCCTCTTGCATATTTACCACCTCTTGCCAAGTACCTACTCATTCAATATTCCTCTGATCATCCATCCATCCATCCATCCATCCATCCATCCATCGATCCTCCACCCATCCATCCACCCATTCATCTATCTATTCATCCACCCACCCATTCACCCACCTATCTATCCGTCCCTCCATTAATTCATACAGCATTTATTAATTTCATCATAATGCATTCACTCATCATTCCCCATTTGACTCTCACTTCCCTTTTGGTCATTATATTTATACTTTATTGAAATATTTTTTGAAAATACCAATAATTAAAATGGCTATGTTTTTCATGTGTGTATATTAATATTTCTTTTATTGCAATACTAAAGAGGCTATTGTAGAAAACTTATAACATATAAGCATGTATATACCCTGATAATGTCATTGTAAATAAATGCACAATCATAAAAGGCAATTTGGTAATGTCATTTAAAATTTAAATTGTACATACTTTATGACCCAGTGAGTCCACTACCAGTAATTCATTCTAGAGGCACGTTACACATACAGGCAACCACATACGAATAAAAATGGAAATAGATACATCATTAAACTACAGATAAGCTAGATATTCACCAATAGAAGCCTGCTGAAAATAGCTATTTATATTCTTTTTCCTTTAAAAGACTATTTTCAAACTCTGTTTAAATCTTTCTTTACTGTTTCCCCTTCAATATTAGTTTTGTGGTTAATTAAAATTGACAGAAAATAATGACTTCTCCTATTTGATAGTTGATTTGCCTATTTCCAAAAAAGACACTTTTCTGCTCATTCTTAGCACAAATTCATATATTCGTTTAACAAATATTGTATTAAGTCCTTACTATGTGGCAGCAACACTTGAGGTGCCTGCAGAGAAAAATTCCTTCCTTCATGGAGCTTACACTGTAGAGAAAGGATACATAAAATTTGCAATACACATAATAAATAAGCAAACTTCATAGAAGGCAATAAGTGGCTTGAAAAAAAAATGCCCACGGCAAAGATATTTGGAATACTGGGGATAAGAGGCATGGTGCGCTTTTAAATAGGATTTTTAGGAGAGATTTCATTGAGAAGGTAACGTTTGGGCAAGGGTTTCAAGGAGGAGAGAGAGTTAGCTAAGCAGATATCTGGAGTGTGTAAGGTCAATGTACTCGATTGAAGAATGAGGGAAGAATGATAGGAGACAAAGTTAGATGAATAATGGAAAGCCAGATCATATGGGAATTTGTAGAACATTCCGAGGGCTTTGGCTCCTGAGTGAGAAAGGGAGCCATTAAAGACTTTGAGCAGAGGAATGACACAGTCTGATTTATGTGTTAAATGGGGGCTGTGTGGAAAGGAGATTGTAGGAGGAAATCCAATTAGGAGCTTATTGCAGTCATTTAGGTTAGTGATGGTGGTAGTTTGAATGAGTGTCATAGTGAAGGCAGCGACAAGTAGATAAGGTTGAAAGTGAAGGTGATCAAATCTCAGAAAAGTGAGATTTAAAAAAGAGGAGTCAAAGATTATTCCCCATCAATTAAAATGAGGACTGAGTGGATCATTTTGGGAAGGAAGATTAGATGTTCAGTTTTGAGTTCAGAAGAGAGATCTGGTCTAGAGATTTAAATTTGGTACTCATTGTCATATAGTGAGCATTTAAAGATAGAAGACTGAATGAAATCATGAAATGAGTTGGTGTGGGTCTCCCAAAGTTGTGAGGTTGGGCAGGAGTGTGGAGCTAGCAAGGAACATGAGTAGTAAATGGGGAGAGGACTTCCTATTCAGTAGTGCTGTAATAGCTAGCTAGCCACATGCAGGAGAATGAAACAGTACCCCTGCCTTTCAACATATACAAACATTAACTCAAGATGGATTAAAGATTTCAGTGTAAGATCTCAAACTATAAGAATTTTAGAAGAAAACCTAAAAAACACCATTCTGCACATCTGCCTTTAGAAATAATTTATGACTCAGACCTCAAAAGCAATTGCAACAAAAACAAAAATTGACAAGTGGGAGCTAATTAAACTAAAGAGCTTCTGCACAGCAAAAGAAACCATCAACAGAGTAAACAGACAATCTACAGGAGGGGAGAAAATACAAACTATGCATCTGACAAAGGTCTAGTATCCAGAATCTATAAGGAAATTAAAAAATTCAACAAGCAAAAACCATATTACCGCATTAAAAAGTAGGCAAAAGACATGAACAGATACTTCTCAAAAGAAGATATACACATGGCCAACAAACACTGAAAAAATGCTCAACACCAGTAATCACCAGAGAAATGCAAATCAAAGCTACAATGAGATACTATCTCACACCAGACAGAGTGGCTATTATTAAAAAGTCAAAAAATAACAGATGCTGGTGAGGCTATGGAGAAAGGGAATAGTTATAAACTATTGATGGGAATGTAAATCAGGGCAGCCACTGTGGAAAGCAGTTTGGCAATTTCTCCAAGAACTTAAAACAGAACTACCGTTCAACACAGAAATCCCATTACTGGGCATATATCCAAAAGGAAACAAATCATTCTACCAAAAAGACACATGCACTTGCACTTTCATTGCTGCCCTATTCACGATAGCAAAGACATGCAGTCAGCCTAGATGTCCATCAGTGATGGATTGGATAAAGAAAATGTAGTACATATACACCATGGAATACTATACAGCATAAAAAAGAATAAAATCATGTCCGTTGCAGCAACACAGATGCAGCTGGAGGTCATTGTCATATAGTGAGCATTTAAGTGAATTTAAGAGCATTTAAGGGCATCTAAATGAATTAACACAGGAACAGAAAACCAAATACTGCACGTTCTCACTTCTAAGCGGGAACTAAACACTTGGTACTCATGGACAAAAAGACGGCAACAACAGACACTGGGGACTGCTTGGAGGGGGAGGGAGGGAGGGAAGCAAGAGTTGAAAAACTAACAATTGGGTATTATGCTCACCACCTGGGTGATGGGATCATTTATATCCGAAACCTCAGCATCACACAATGTACCCATGTAACAAACCTGCACATGTACCCCCTGAATCTAAAATAAAAGTTGAAGTGACATCAAAAAAACTTTCATCAATAAAAACAAATACAAAAGTAAAATGCTACAATTTTATGATCACAAAAGAGTTTTTGTTTTAAAGTTGAAACTGAGAAAACTATGGTTAATATAAGTATTAAAAATATTTTATTAGGAGTATAATTTTAGAAAAAATTAGTCATTGTCAGTCAATAGATCTTTAAAATTATTTAAATGATAATACAGAGAAGAATAATATAGATAGCACAATTTCTTTTTATTGTTTCTAATTCTTTACATCTAAAGAATAATGTATGATTGGAAAAAGTATACTAAATGTGTGCTTTTGAAGTTGCTTTATGTGGGAATTGGATGTATGATAAAGGTAAAATCTCAAATCACTTGGCACAAAGATGGGCTTTTTAATGAATGGAGTTGAGACCTATGGATAGCCATATGGTAAAAGATCAAATTGTTTTCATACAACATACCAGGGCAAACTCCAATGAATTCCCACATGTATTTGAGGCTACATTCAGATTTCCTATTTGATTCCTTTAGTCTGTCCACATAATCCTCCATTTCTATCCTGCTGTTTTAATTCTTGTGGCTCTAAAGTATGCTTTAATTTTTGGTTCATCCTCATTATCTTCTATTTAATAGTTTTCATGGCTATATACAATAATTTGAATACTGTGGAGTCGTTTGGCATACTACTATTTGTGATATTCAAAACAAACTTTAGGCCAGGCACCATAGCTCATGCCTGTAATCCTAGCACTTTTGGAGGCCGAGGTGAGTGGATCACCTGAGGTCAGGACTTCAAGACCAGCCTGGGCAACATGGTGAAACCCCATCTCTACTAAAAATACAAAAAATTAGCCAGGTGGTGGCACGCACCTGTAGTCTCAGCTACTCAGGAGGCTGAGACAGGAGAATCTCTTGAACTTGGGAGGTGGAGGCTGCAGTGAGCTGAGATTGCACCACTGCACTCCAGCCTGAGCGAGATAAAGTGAGACTCCATCTCAAAAATAAACAAATAAATAATAAACTTTAAGAACCGTTTTTAGTTTTGTAGTTATTTAAATTCATTTGACCTTCCGTTTATTACATCAATGCTTACTGGGTACCTATTATGTGCTTATTACCACTTTTCTACATACTTGGGAGCATCAGTGAACAGAATAAATTTCTGCTCTCTTGTAGCTTTGTAGCCACGTGCATTAGTGCTGTGTTTCAAGAAAAAAGTCTATTTGATTATTCTTCACATCATCTGAGGTTGAATTAAAGCAGAATGCCAACTTTTCCATCTTAATATTTTATGAAGAAAAAAGTGTTCAAAATCTTGCTCAACAATATCTATAATAAATCACCTTTGATTTAGAATTGTAAAGAGTATGAAGAAAAGAAATAAGTGCTGGGGAAAAGTGAGACACCCAAGAGATATCTTGTTCTTCGACTTATCTTGGTTGAAATTAAGTGTCTACTTAGTATCATAAATTTACAGTACAGTGACCACAGAAGCATTTCAGCCATTGACAAGGCTAAGAAATGATTGTTCCTGCGCTATATCAAGCATTTAAAAATCGACTCCTGAACTGTTAATAATAAAATTGTAGTAGTAATTTTTTGCTAAAATTTAAGATTTATTGTCAAATCCCGGAAGCTATGATGAATTTGATATTCGGCGTCAGCTACAGCTTTGGCTGAATATTGCTTTAGGCACTTGACCACTTAGAATGACATAAAACATACATATATTTTCTGAGTTCCTTCACCACCAATTATTTTTTCCAAAGACAGAAGCCAAAATGTGAGAATAATAGAGACACAGTGCCTGCATGTCAGGAGCACATCAAGCTCATGACAACATTTTCAACAGTTAAAAGTTTTTTCAGCCCCAGATAAATTGTCCAGTGAGCAGAACATATATGGAGGCAACTTAGTTGTACTTTGCCCTTCTGCCATATGCGATCATCTCATGTCCGTAGCAATTGCCACACAACTAGAATAAATTGTTTTAGGGCTTGCAGTTACAAGCCCAACTTACTCAAGGACATTATTTAAAAAAATCTCATTTAAACAGGTTACAACAGACATTTAAACCTTATATGCAAAATAATTTCTTACAGGTTTTTATTTATCCCATTGATTTTTGCCTACAACTTCCTTCCCATGTCACCTGCCTCACTTTTCAAATCTCGATAATCACCCCTGGAAGTGTGTGAACTAGTTCCCAAGGAGGAATAAAGAACACGTCATTAATTATTCATGGTCTGGTGACTGCCTTGAAGTACATGTGATAATACGATGGTGCTCAAATTTGGTATTCATTAGAAACACCTAGGGAATTCGCTAAACTACAGATTGGTGGGTTCTGCCCTGCGATTGCTAATTGAGAATGTCTGAGGCAGGGTCTCAGAATTTACATTTTTGGCAAGTTCCCTGGTGATGCTGATCTGGGATCACTCTATAAGGGCCACTAATATAATAATGGTTTAACTTTTTGTTTCTCCCCTTGTCTAGGAGTTTATTGGAGGCAAATAAAATTCAGTTTCATTGACAAGCCTAAGAAATGATTGTAGTAAAGTACCAGGCACAGAGTAGATACTTAGTAAATAGCTGTTGACTAAATGCATAGAGAGCTTTACTCAGTAGTACTAGGTTAGTTGCATAAACGTTCAGAGCTTTTGTATTTGTAAGTTAATTTTTCCCCCAGTAGTCACCCATTGTCTTCTGGGAAACTAAAAATTCAAAGATTATTGATAACTTTAACTAAAATCCAAAGCACCTATATGGGGAATTTTGAATTATTTATTAATCACTAGCTAATATAAAATACAGCCTTAAATGAATGTTTTACTTATAGAAAAATTGAAATAAATACTTCTGAGTGTTTTGAGCTTATTTATACGTGCTCTCAAAAAAATCTCAGCAAAGATTTCAGATAACAATGATCACTTTTACCACTGCCTTAGATTGAATGCATGTATAATAGCATTCCTTGCATAGAATGCATGTACAATAGTATTCTTTGACGTCAATTATTATAACCTATCGCATAGTCCTACGGGGCAGTGATCTAGGAAAATATTTCCCTGAACTGAAATAATAAAAGACAAACACTCAATTCAAGTATACAAAAAGTGCCAGTTTTGTAAATTGCTACCAACAGTCACACCTTCCGCAAAGAAAATAACATGAATTAAAACAAAACAAAAACCATCATATTTTTATTTTACAAATTAGGGATGGAGAGGGATGAAGGTGAGAACTATTTACAATTTTATTTCATCTCAAAGCAGCACATTGCTTTAGTATTGGTGTGCAGAAAAATGAGGTTGCCACTGAAGTCTCTTCTCTCTCTTCAGCAACACTTCTCCCACTCCGCCCCAAGGCAACCTGCAAAGGAACAGCAGGCTGGGCTGAGTTGGACTTGCCTTTATAAAGCAGGCAGATTATTCCATTGTTTCCCTTGCCATGTGAAACTAAAAAAGCTGAAGATAAGCCTGGACAAAAATTTGGCCAATGGACTATTGAGTCCAAATACAGACTGGGATACGAGATTCCAGAAGCAAATATTTTGAAGTACCTGAAAGCAAAGGTGAAACATGTCAACAATAACATATGCATTGAGCTTTAGTGCCCATTTCCATTTTTTTGCTTTCAAGATTGTCATATTCTGTCCACATATTTGTTGACTTGGGAACTGATGAAAGTACACAGGTGAAATAAACCTTTGCCTGTAACCTTACCCTTTGGCTTATGTTCATTAAAGTGATAAAACCAAATGATATAATTTTTATTCTGCTTATTTTTTAAAACTCTTTTTGGTTACTCTTTCCCTTACCTTGTTTTCTCTAGACACATCTTCCATTGTTAGCACTATCTGTAATTCAAAAGTCTTTTCAGATGTTAAATTCTCTCTTGCAGTTATTGTCTGGCTTTAATTTTTAATGCTTTTCTTTCTTCCCCCTACACCTACTGCTTGTATTTTTCTTTTCCATGGATTTGATCTCCTTGGCAGCTGGCATTGTCTCCATTATTTCATCTTGCTCACATAAATATTGTCAAAGCACTCACCTTTCTTTTCCCCCAGAGGAGGAAGTAGTCGATAAAGAATATGCTACACCTTTTCTTTCTTTCAAAGAACAGGTAGCTATTTTTCATGAAATGTCTCCCTTGTAAATTTCTTTATATTTCCTTTTAATAATTAATCTAGTCTTTATTATTTAAAAAGCAGTGTCATCCTCTTTGGAAGATATGTTCTATGTTACAATCTCATGAATTCTTACCACTCATAGAAAGGGAAACTATTATAAAGAGTTGAGAAGGACCAAAGTTGAGGAAAATAACACTACTTTATCTGTTGTATTTCTTCTCTTTCATTTAGGACAACTGTGTAAGGTTTTACATTTTATATAAATATCTCAATTCTATGTTAACATGGTTCTATATTTCATGCAACTCAAAACAAACAAGTAGGTAATAATACTAGCACATATTTTCTAAAATACAAAAATAGATATTTAAGAATAGATATATATTTCAAATATATTGAAATTGGTTTATCTCTAGGAGATATGTTATCAATGTGTTTTCTGCAAATTCTTGGTCATTAAAATTTTCTATTCTGGTTTTAAAGATAATTTTTATTTCTGGCATAAATGAATATCTTTCAGAAACTATGCTTCCTGGGATCCAGTCAAAGTATCTTAAATAACAATTCCACTTAGACTTTTCCAGCAGGCAAGAAAGGGTAATATTGGTGGCTTATAAAGTTTTGGGCTTATTGATACAGTTTGTGGACTGGAACAAAAAGGAGATTTCTTTATTTAATGAAGTTGATCTCAACTATCCCTGTGCCTCAGGGATAGATTTTTTTAAAAATCTGGAGTTTTTAAGAACTAAAGGTGTTGAGCCCAACTTTTTGAGATTCCATGTCAATTGGCTGGGTGGCTAGGTGGGGGGAGAAGTGAGTATTTTTACAAACCTCTGAGTAGATTCTAATGTACAGTCATAGTTGGGAACCATTGATTTGTCACCAAAATGGTAAGCTGTGAGTGCATATACAGATCCAACATCATCTTCAGGAAACTAGGCAAGCCATAGCTTCTTATGTCTTTTGTGTGGTATTTCCCTTGGAGTCCTAAAAAAATGGCTTAAACTTGAGCCTCACAATGGGTAAGTTTGCCTCTGCTTTTTCTTTTGCAAAGCTATTATATAAATGTCCAAATTATTGATGAAGATCAGGGTGAGAGGATTAAAGAGAGGGAAAGGCAGAGAGCATCTCTCACAACATGGAACAATGAAAGAAAGCACATGTGCTTTTGTTTTGGCAAAGTATGCCACTAATCTAGTTATATCCATCATGTCAAGCTTGCTTACAAATGTATTGTTGTCTGTCTATAGAGATGTGACATTAAGTAGCCCATATACTGTGTTTTTTATTTGTTTATAGGTTAATTGTTCAGAATATTGATCTCCTGGGCTCATTTTCCCATTCTTTCTGAAATACCCTTTCAAATCAACAAACATAAAATAGAACAGATTCTTCCACACAGGGGACTCTTAAATGATGCAGATTCTTTCTACTTGGTGCCTATTAAAAAATCACTTTTGTAAGAAAGCATAATCCAGTATACATATTGCTGCTACTCCAGAAGTTACTGCATTATTTTAGGCCCTAAATTTTGGAGGAATGGATGAAACTAATTAGGATGCACTAAATTTTTGACCACTTACCGTTTTTGTTAATTTAGCTATATATATATATATATATACACACACACACATATATATATACATATATACATATATATACACATATACACATATATACATATATACACATATATACACATATATATACACATATATATACCTTTAAATTGCAATAAAGTTCTATACATTTGAATTCAAAAAACTATTTAATGATGAATTACTGAGTGAGAGCTGCTGAGACAGTATGCCTGAAAAAAATGCTATAAAAAATAAAAGCCTAGTACAGCCATTATGGAAAAGAGTATGGATTTTCCTCAAAAAGTTAAATATAGAACTACCATATGATCCATCAATTCCACTTCTGGGCATATATTCAAAGGAAACAAAATCAGTGTCTTAAAGGGAAATCTACATTTCCATATTCATTGCAGCATTATTCATATTAGCTGAGATATGGAATTAACCTGTGTCCATCAATGAATGAATGAATAAAGATAAGGTGGTATATGCACACAATGGAATACTATTCAGTCTTAAAAAAGGAAATCCTGTCATTTGTGACAACAAAGGCAACTATGGCATGATCTTGTATGAAATTCCAAAAAGTCAAACTAATAGAAGCAGAGAATATAATGGGGGTTTACAAAGGGCTAGGATGGGTGGGAATGGGGAGATTTTGGTTAAAGGATAAAAAGTTGCAGTTACACAGGATCAATAAGTTCTGGAGCTCTACTAAACAGCATGTTGACGCTAGTTAATAACAATGTATGTATATATGAATTGCTGAGAGAGTAGATTTTAAATGTTTTCACCACTAAAAATAAGTATGTGAGGAGATGGACACGCTAATTAGCTTGATTTACTCACTCCACAATGCATACGTATATCAAAGCATCACATTGTACACCGTACATAAACTTTTTAAAATCAATTACAAAAAATTATAAAATAAAAGTAAATAGGAAAAAAAGCTTAATTCTGAGTAGTGGGGATGCAGGCTGTTATGTGCCACCATTTTCTACTTCCCATAGTTGTCGTTACACAGTAACCTCTGCCTTAATTTTGTAACGTATTTTTTTTTTTTTTTTAATTAACAAGTACATTCAAAGCCAGTTGCTTGGCTCTTGGGTGGGTATGTGAAGAGAAGCTTCCTCAGGGCCTGGCGAGGGAATTTTAATGCCCTTGATGAAATTATGTGTAAATGAGACACTAGATCAAAGAGCACCGCAGGAGATATACCTAATGTAAATGACGAGTTAATGGGTGCAGCACACCAACATGGCGCATGTATACAAATATAACAAACCTGCACGTTGTGCACATGCACCCTAGAACTTAAAGTATAATAAAAAAACAATCAAACAAAAAAACCAAAGAGAACCGCAGGGAAGGCAGAGCCAGAGGCAGAATCACGCGGGAAGGCCAACATCTAGAAGTCCAAGATGGCTTCTCAGAGTGAGTGCAGAGAGACTCTGAAGAAGATCTGGAATCTTCCTTCTCTTCATATTTAATTTTCTAGGGTGTATCTCATCCAAAGAAAATTCTGTACACGAGAAAAATGTTTCTGGAAAGCACTGGTGCAGCCTCTGTCAGGTACGGTTTTTTTGGGGGGCCGTATTTCTTAAGTATAACTTTAGTTTTCCTCATACCACAAATTTAGGTATCTCTAGGATCTTATCTACATGGATGTGCTCTTGTTGACTGAAATGTGTTTTTCTAGCCATGAACAGGGCACAGGTAAAATGGTAGAGGGTGAGTGAGGATTTTGCAATTATTGGAAACAGATGTGCATACATATTTTGATATTGTTGGAAGTATTTCTTCCGTGTAAATTCCTAGAGGAGAGATTGTTGGGTTCAGATGCAAAGGAACGCTCTATGTAATTTTGTTAGGCATTGCCGAATTCCCCTCCATTAAGATCACATCAGTTTGCATCCTGACTAAAAATGTGTGAGAGTTCTTGTATCCCCTGCTGCCTCAGCAACGGAATATATTGTTATACTTTTTAATTTTTGCCAGTCTGACAGGTAAGAAATGGTATCTCAGTGTGGTTTTCACAGGTATTAGTCTTGTTATGAGGAGGATCATTTTTTCATGTGTTAAACAGCCATTTGCACAGTGTGTGCATGTGTGTGTTTGTGTGTGTGTGTATGAATTGTGTTGTTTTTTGCCAATTTTGCTATTGGCTTACTGAAATCCTTTTGATTTCCTTACTCTCCTGCCAATAGCCACACAATCTGAGGAAGGGAACCTAAACATTATATGCAGGCAGAAGCTCCCAAGTGCTTGATTTGGGTTTGGAACCAGGCTGGTTGCTTAGGAATTAGCTAGGTAATATAGATTAACTATATCTTTCTTCAGGTTTCTGATTCAAAACGACCAGGGCGGTCCCAAGATCCTGTGTTTTTAGCAACTAATCCTGGTGGTTTTGGTGCCCAGCCATGTGTGGGAATTATTGATAAGACTGCGCTTCCTGTAAGAACACCAGCTTCAGGGTCCCTGACTGGGAAGAGAAAGAATGTACTAGAGGAGAATGAGCTAGAGGTGGCTGGAGAAGGCTGCTTATACTTCAGGAATGCATCAGAACATTCTAACTTACTTAATTTTACCCATCAACTCTGTCCTACCTGGGGAGAATGGAGGTGCTGTTCAATCCATTCCTGATCCTCCAAATGCACTTGGATCTGCATTTGTTATTACTCATTCCTGGAGTCTCATCTTTGCAAGTGTATTGCAAGTGAATTATCTTTAATGTTTTCCGGAAGCATATTCACCTTGTGTGTCATTTTGGAAATACTGTTGTGAAATTAGCATGGCATTGTTAATTAGATAGAACTGATAGTTTGGTTATTTTCTGTTCAAAAGCAGGGAAGAATAAAAATACATTCTTATATTTTAGTTAGTATATTACAATTAGGCCTATGATATGGAAACAAAATACTAACATTTAGTTTGTAGAAGCCACTAGTTCTAGCCCTCTTATTCTTCATTGTTTCATGGGGTTAAACTGAGGGTGCTGTATGAGAAAAACGTGTTGTACCCAAAAGGCAAAGTCATTTGGATTTGCTTCAAGGAAGTCCTGTAGTTGACCTTGAGAACCTTTTAAGGTAAGAGAAAATTGAGCTCATGAGGACCTCCAAATTTTAAGTCAAATTCAGCAATATGTAAGAAAAGTCTTTAACTTAGGATGTACTTAATAAGAGGTGGCTGTGTAAGAAAGGAGGTGTTGCTTTTCTTAGCTCATTTGAGAAAGATTATTTTTAATTTCCACTGAGTAAAGAACAAGAGGGGATGTGGTTAAGTTCGATGACAGAAAGAGTTTCCTTCTGGGTAGAATTTCTTTTGTGGTTATGAGCTCTCTTTTCCATGCAGGAAGTGGTTTTTAGAGTGTAGAGGCAACTGCAATTTTTCTTCAGGTGATTTAAATGCATTTTTACCTATACCATGAAAATGTTTGTATTTTCCATTCTACTAAGTGTGAATAATTTACTTGCAATTAAAAAATTTAAAATTCCGGTAAAATTTTGGGGACTAATAAGTGAGGAAATATGGGATAGATGACCTGTAGGGTCTTTGAAATCTTTGATGACCCCAGTGATGTTATGGTCCAAAAATAAGATGGAAAATCTTTTCTTAAAGGGATTCAATTTCTGCCACAAAGTGAGATTATAAGATGGATTTTAAAAAGGCTATTTTATTTGTAATGAAATTCAATAGAAATAAAACTATGCATAATATAAATAAAGTTTAGTCAAAATCCTTTTCTCAGCTGTTACGTGATTCTCTATGGTGGGACCTAGGACTAGAGTTCACTAGGGGCTCAATTTCTTCAAGTACTGTATCCCACCTTGCTGAAAAAGTCTGAGTGATGAAGATCCAAGGGTAGCCCATATCTGCTTTGGCTGTTATCTCTTGGTTTAGGACAAAAATATGAACCAGTACGGTTTTCTCACTTGTTTCTTTGAACTAAGAAACATGAAGGGAAGTTGCCAGTTGGTTGTGGAACCTAAGGTCAAAGAGTCAGGATACTGAGTGTTGTAGCAAACTTATGAGCCAGAATAAACCATGACAGCTTAAGAGTCTCTTTAGTGAAAAGCTGACAATGGAACAAGAATCCAGAGAGAAATTGAGAGGCCCCAAGAGAGGGATTATAGGGCTTCCTTGCTTCTAGGTTCTTGAAATCTCTGGAAAATTCTCCACCAGTTCTGAGATCCAAGATGTCTTTTGTATTCTTAAAATACACTTCACTTTTCTTGCAATGTTATTTATTCTCCTTTAGTCAAAGTAGCCACACTAATCAGTTATACCTAGACACAAATAATTTTTGCAAGGAAGTCATAAGGAAGCAATATTTTTTACATTTTGTATTTCATTCCTTCATTTTACTTCTTCAATGAATGTATTTTTTTGAAATATAGTATTTATTATTAATGTGAATATTTTAAAGGGTATGTTAGTGACATTTTTGGAAAACTGAAAATAAAGTACATTTGAATATTTTTTATGCAAACCAATCCATTAAAATCAATTTTTATTTTAGGACCTTCAGTATATGCTATGTGCTCTTTTCTAGTTATAATAAGTCATATTCAATGATTAACAGAAGGATGATGATAAACGATTTGATGAAAGGGAAAAAATGCCAATTATCTTGATAATTGTTGAAGCAACCAAACATTTGATGCAACTTTTAGGTTTCTGTGTGTATAAGCAATCCTGCTACTGGGTATCTACCTAAAGGGAAAGAAATCATGATACCAAGAAGATACCTCGGCTGGGCACGGTGGCTCATGCCTGTAATCCCAGCACTTGGGAGGCCAAGGCAGGTGGATCACTTGAGATCAGGAGATCGAGATCATCCTGGTCAACATGGTGAAACCCCGTCTCTACTAAAAATACAAAAATTGGCTGGGCATGGTGGCAGGCACCTGTAGTCCCAGCTACTCGGGAGGCTGAGGCAGGAGAATCGCTTAAACCCAGGAGGCGGAGGGTGCAGTGAGCCAAGATTGCACCACTGCACTCCAGCTTGGGCAAAAGAACAAGACTCCATCTCAAAAAGAAGAAGAAGAAGAAGAAAAAAAGAAGTTACCTGTACTCATATGTTTATCACAGCACTATTCACAATAGTAAAGGTATGGAATCAACCTGTGTCTCCAAATGGAGGATTAGATAAAGAAAATTGGGCATATGTATACCTTGGAATAGTACTCAGCCATAAAAATGAAATGTCTTTAGCAGCAATATGGATGGAACTGCAGACCATTATGCTAAGTGAAATAACTCAGAAACAGGAAGTCAAATACCCCATGTTCTCACTTGTAAGTGGGAGCTAAACAATGGGAACACATGGACATACAGAATGGAATAATAGACATTAGCGACTCTAAAATGTGGGATAGTGGGAGTGGGGAAAGGGCTGATAAGTTACCTATTGGGTACAATGTTCACTATTCGGGTGATGGGTATACAAAAGGCCCAGACCTCACCACTATGCAATATATGCATGTTAGAAATCTGTACTTGCACCTCCTAAATATATAAAAATTACAGGAAAATTAAAATAAGCTTATACATGTGTAGGTAGCAACTAATTGACCTATACAAGAAATTATTTTATTTTATGAAATAATGATCACTAGTTGGAGACTTAAATGTGTTTATTTTAAAAGCTTTACTATTAATCTCAATCAAATCTCATCTTCTCCTCAGCTGTTGCCGTGGAAGCTGGATGTGAAGGAGGTGGGGGCTGAGGCCTGGTGCTTAGTCCCCTCTCCCCTAAGTCCTTTCCTGGGCATTGACTTCTGTGGCGTGGTAGGCAAGATGGAAGCAAGCATATGGGGAGGCAGAAGTGTTTTTACTTGACTGCCCATGTGTGGTGGTTTCACATCTTCCCTTAGGCCAATCTGGTTCCAGCTGAGGATGTTGATAGTATCTGCTGGCATTAAGGTTTCCAACCAGATGGTGTGCTTGGTCTTCACTGGGTGGCATTTATCATTGCCCCAGCCTTCCTTATCACTGAAACATTCCCTCAAGGAATAGCCATGTATCCCTTCACTTCTCCAGCAGTACACTTCTTTGGATTAGACATCCTATCTATTGGCTCAGAAACTGCCAGGGTATTCTCAGCTCATTTCTGTACTGTATTCTATGAAAGTGGAATGCTTTTCCACATGCTCTGAGGGCTGTGAAGAGCTGGGAAAGGCTGCCTAGGAATGCCAAACCCTTTAATTTCCACTGGCATGGGCTGCTCCAGTGGTCTCTATCCCTTGTAAGTCTCTAAGGAGCCAGAAATAGGCAGCCTGCTTTATATTCAAGAATGACCTATAAACTTTAAGATAAACCTCTGAAGCACTTACTTCCTCCTGTCCACAGTTGGGGAAACAGACCAAAAAATAACACCAACATACCTTCAGAGTTCTAGAACTCTCTCCTAAGGATCCCTTAGCATGCTCCTCCCTGGGGTGTTGCCAGCATGGACCTAGGGGTACTGCAGCTCAGCAAGCCCCCAGCCAGGGAGCCAGTTGTCAGTAACTCCATCTTTCTGGAACCTCCAGGCTTCACAGATAATTATATTGGCTTCTCACAGGGGAGCATCTCTTATTCCTTTATCTTCTTTTCATAAACCCTGTAGTACCCACCTCATCTGGCCCCATGGTTGACTTTTTTTTTGATGTGGGGATTGGTGGAGGGTTGAACAGTCAGTGGAAATTCTGCACTGGGTCGGCCTCTCAACAAGTCTTTCAAGGAGGTGTTGGTTCCAGTTCCAACTGAGAACAACTTCTTGTCATTATGGGATAACTTGCCTTTTCTTCAAAACAGCATGGAAAATCTCACTCTACCTGTAAATCAGAGACTATATTTGTCCTTAATCCTCAACATGTTACTAAATGCTTTTCAAATAATAGAAACTCAATAAACATTTGTTAAAGAAGAAAGACAAGGGCAGTTTGAGTAAGTTTAACTTTATTTTCAAAAAAATTTAAGAAGCTTCCAAGAGAGATGGATACTTTCTGATAGAAAAGAAGGCTATATAGAGGTTACAATGGATTTATGAGAAAAAATCTGGTTCAAGTAATCTGACATAATTCCTTGCTGACATTCTCTGATGAAAATTAATGATTGGAAGATGATGTATTAAGATATTATATGCAATTTAACTCAGGCAAAGTTGTGTATTATATAAAATAGTAGAGAAAAGGGATTTGAGAATCAGTATGAAAGCAGACAGCCAACAAAGAGAAACAAATAGGCTTTAGACTGTGCCTGTAAAGGATGAAGATAGCAACCATTTCAGTTTGTGTCTTTTTGTCTTTTAAAAACTCATTTGACTTTTTATTTGACTGACCTGACCAAATTTCCATGTTGTTTTGGAGCCATGGAAACAGAGTCATGATGTGCTATTGAATGAGACAAAATAAATACAGACGGGCTTAGGTGTTAATGAAATTTTTTATGTTTCATATGATTATTTGTGGGATTAGCTTGTATAATATAATTACTAGTTCACATTTCCTTTAAAGTCTCTCATGATTTTTTTTTCAGATGGAGAATTATATTTGGAGTATGGCAGATTTTAGAAAAATTTGTAAAGAAGGAATTATCAGTTTCTGCTTACTGTAGATACCCATGCCCTCCTAAATTTGGAGAGATCCTCACTCCATTTTGGAAGCATTCCCTTCTGAAATTGTCATGTATTGACTCTTCACTATCTCTCCCGGTAGACGTGGTAAGCTGCTTGAAGACTACATCCTATTTGTCTTTGCGTTAGCAGCAATGATCACAGAGTGTAGGACATAATAGGTACACAATAATGGTTTAATGCATGAATAAATAGTTATCAGGAGCCCCTGCACCAGTCTTACAATCCCAGCCCTGGTATTTCATATATTGGTGTAAAATCCTAGTTACCCAAATGCTTCTGAAATTGCTTGTTTCTTCCTAACCCATGATAAGATCACTCAGTTCTTTACTGATAGATGACTTCCCAATTTCCATTAGGATTTTCTCTGAAATGCATCTTGCTTGCTGGGGCACTGCTAACTTCCCAGGCCTTGCAGGCCTATTATCCAGAGACTAAACCTTGCTCCCACAGAGACCTCCATCACTAGCCTGAACTCTCTGGGGTTAAATAACCCTTCAGATTATGTTCCAGGGTTATTAGCGATACGAGAGTCTAAGCAAGTACTCTTCATTTATTTTCCTCCAATCCTGCCTACATTTATCTAACAAATTGAAAATATTATTCTTTCCTTTTGCTTATTGTACCTCTGGAAAATCTGCCAGGAAGAATTTAATAGACATTAGACTGGGGTTCATCCTTTAACAGCATAATATTTATTTCTTCACCTGAAGGTTAAGAGGGTTTAATCTTCAGAAAGAACTATTAGTTTCTACCTCCTGCAGTACAGTTGGGAAGAGGTTTCAATTCTAATCTGGGAAAGTTAAATGATGGGAATGGGTGCTGGTCATATTTCTTTAAGGATGGGCTAAGGGACTCGTACCCAGAAAAAAAAGTCTCATAAAAGTAGGTTAGAGTTCCAAGTGTTCTAGCTCTTTCAACATATGTCATGCTGCTGCCTGGGCACATATTCTTCTGATATCAAAACTGATAGTAATGTCAAAGATACAATGTGTTTTTGTGGAGGAGAACAGTGAGTGAAGTTTGGGTAACAGGTGTAGGGATTCAAGTCAGAGGAATAAGAGAATGCCACTTATGCCTCTTAAGCTGTAGCCCAAGCTTAGTAATAATCTCCTTTGAGTGTGTGTGTGTGTGTGTGTGTGTGTGTGTGTGTGTGTATCCATAATTTGAACAGTCCCAGGGTGTGCTGTGGCTTTATTGGGGAACCAGAAATGCCGAGCCCTTTTCTTGAGGTTAAGAGCTGCTGCAGAGCTGTTGGCCTCAGATAATGTTCTGATCTGGGAGACAGAGAGGACCTTCTGCTTTCACACCCAGGATCTCATTTAGAGAGTAATGTTCAGTTTCACCCCAACAATGTGCTCATTGCTGCGATTTCCAGCACTATTAATATTAAGGAACTTGTGTTTGGGGGTGGGGTTGGGGAGGGAGGAAAATAATTGGCAGGCTGAATATGCTGATCTTTTCACACACTCCTCTTTTGCTTCCTCTCTGCGGCTGCAGTTGGGTTTGCTTGCTGTCTCCACCGAGCTGACGTGTGATGTCTGCAGCGCGAGTCAAAGCCACCTCGCAAAGGCAGCCGTGTTCCCTGCCTTGACATCTCATCCCTCGTCCTTACTCAGATCTCGTCAGCCTACACGGTCTGCTCCTCCAACAGCTAATAGCGAAATGACTGCGGGGAAGGCAATGACAGCAATCGCTGTTCAGCATTTATTTTACCTTTGATTTTTTGCTGCACATAAAATTCCAGGCCTGAGCTGCGGGGCAGACATAGAGGAGAGTGCGGGGGCTTGGAAGAAGGTGGGACTCTGAAATCTGCCCCTCCTCCCCCTTCAGTACAACGTAATGTGAGCTGAGTGGTCTCTGGCAATGATTTAATGCCTCCTTTGGACATTTGCCGGTTAACATAGCAAGATTGACAGTGTGCATCGTGAGTTGTATGTAGCTACCAAGGCTCAGAGGCTGTATATTTCCCTATCCTGCATGTCATTCCTGAGACCTTTTATAAATTCAGAGGCAGGACAGCAAGCTAGGCTCCTACCATCATCTGTGTTCTTGCTTCTTTATTGTTCTCAGTACCAAATGATATTCCACAGCACCTGCTCATACTGCTTAGTGCCATATAAGGAGAACCAGGTAGGAACACATGCTGCCCTGCCCTCCAGGAGCTTGCAGTTTAAGGCAAATACCCAGACAGAGACAAATGTTATTTCTGAATCTTTTTCCTCTCTGTTACTTGGCAAACAGCTAGTGATATGGTTTGGCTCTGTGTCCCCACCCAAATCTCGTCTTGACTTGTAGCTCCCATAATTCCCTTGTGTTATGGGAGGGACTTGGTGGGAGATGATTGAATCATGGGGGCAGTTTCCCCCATACTGTTCTCATGGTAGTGAATAAGTCTCACGAGATCTGATGGTTTTATAAGGGGTTTCCCTTTTCTCTTTGCTCTCATTCTGTCTTGTCTGCTGCCATGTAAGATGTGCCTTTTGCTTTCCACTATGATTGTGAGGCCTCCCCAGCCACATGGAACTATGAGTCCATGAAACCTCCTCTTCTTCATAAATTACCCAGTGTCAGGTATGTATGTATTAGCAATGTGAAGATGGACTAATACAGCTAGCCATAGTGGACATATTACACAAACTTCATACTCAAGAGCTTCATCCCAGTCCTGTCTTGGTCATTTAATAGCTTTGTGACTTTGGGCAACTCATTTAACTCTTTCGAGTCCCAACTTCCTTATCTGTAAAGCTGTACAACAATGAAGCCTATGTCCTGGTGTTGCTGCGAGATTAGACATAGTGTTTAAAAACCAAGCTGGCCTACAGGAAGAGTTTAATTTCTGGTAGTTGACATTTTGGAGAGTGAATCTAATGATAAGTGCATGGGCATCGTCACATTTCCCGTGATGTGTATGGATGGATTTGGAGCTCTGAATAAGTACAAAGGAATTGTTTTTGAAACGTGTCACTTCACATTGCCAGTTCTCTCTTCCTCCTCATCTGTATTTTTTCCTGTTATTGAACCAATTCATGGAGCTAGCATGGAATTTCTATTAACTTACTCCACATAGATATGACGCTATCTGGATAGGTTAGCCTGAACATAATTTCTCAATTAACTAAATTCTGCTTCTAAGCGATTTACAGCATAGTGGTCTTTTCATTCATTCCCTTCAACTTGGGGTAGTAATGGATGCAGTTATTGCATTGAGCACTCACGGAGAGTGGTCTACATGGATACCATTTTTCTTTTAACAAATAATTTGCCTTTAAATATAATGTTCTATGGTGCGGTTATGTATGTAATAATTTGTTGATAATTTTTTATTCATATATACTAGGATCATCCATTATAATCTAATTGAAAAACACTGTTACAGAGCAAATGACAATTACGTTTGATCCTTTTGTTTAACCAGTTAGTATAAGCATAGCTTATACTGGATATAGTTCACATGGAATGA
The DNA here is from genome assembly GCF_000001405.40 of Homo sapiens. NCBI lineage: Eukaryota > Metazoa > Chordata > Mammalia > Primates > Hominidae > Homo > Homo sapiens. The sequence continues at coordinate 130,632 of NW_003315908.1, forward strand.
TTGATAGGTGAGGTGAGATTATTTTATATCAAATCTTGTAACCAATCTTGTAACTCCACAGGCCAATTTTCTATTACAGGCTTGGGTAGACGCTCCTGCAATTTTTTTCTGAGAAGAAAATGATCCTGTTAATGTAGTCTTTTTGTTCTTGCCTTTAGACAATCATCTAACAGTTTTTTATACTCATATAGCTCTTTGTATTTTTCAAAGTCCTTTCTCTTGAATTCCGTGATATGGATCCCATTTCTGGTTTCCATCTCCTTACCACCATATATAAAGATAAATGCCAACTGCCCAACGACGTGAGGGAAAAGTGGGGATAATTCTTTGGAATGTTAAGCATTATTCCTTCAGGGCTTGACAATCCAGCATACTGTGAAAGCATAGGGCCATTTTTGGAAGAAGAGAAGGAAGATGGAATTTACAGTCTTGGAATCCTTTCAGCATTCTACAGTGTAAAGTGTGTGTGTGTGTGTGTGTGTGTGCACGTGCACACATATGGGAGGGATTTCTTGGTTACGTTAATAATTTATGACATCCTGTGTTATTTGCCAGTGGATTTATGAGTTACTGCAACAAGATTATAAGCAACTCGAGGTCAGAGAATCTTTTTTACAGCTTTATAGGTCTCAAAATGCTTAGCATAGTTCAGGGAAATTGTAAGTATACTGTGGATTCTTGCTGAATGGAATTGAAAGGTACTTTCTGCTTCTCACGCCTACCTAACATTAGATTGCGTGAAGTCAGTGCAAGGGGACTTGCTCATTATGCCTGCTCTGTGGATAGTAAAGCAAATGCTTACTAGAAGGAGGGTCAATAAGATACAAAAAAATTCAGGTTGGAATAAATGGACCATGCCCTTTTTTGATACCTAATGACTCCAAATTACTTTTAGCAATGAAAGCTCATTAACTTTTTCACAAAGTGGTAATGTGAAACCTGTTCCAAAATATGTGAATTGCTTTAAAATAATGTCTCATAGAAGTTAAATTGAAAACAAGAAAAATTCCTGAGACAGAGCTGATGTCTATTGCATGGTAGTACAGAGCCATTTGGGAACTATTTTAAGAATGGAGACCCTCCTAACCAAAGTCAGGGTTGGGGATAAATGGAACTGGCAGTCACCCATGATATGCTCAAGAAACACACTGTGCAACTGAGATTTGAGAATTTTTGCTGCAGCCTTACCGCTGCTGATGCTAGCCCTTAGTGACTAAAGGGTGCGGATAAGCAAGGTGCTGTAGAAGAAATGGACCAAGAATTTGAAAATAAACACAATAGCTCATTAGTAAATATACCATGTCCCTACTTATTGGACCAAATTCTCCTCTTTGAGCCAAGGATGGTCATGGAAATTGTGGTTTCTCTTGAGGTCAGGTGATTTGTTCATTTGGTGCTTCTTGAGTTTCTCTGAGGTTGTCTGGGATAAGCCTGATCACCTGGTAGGATTTTCTTGAAGGAGTTGTCATGGAGTGAACAATGGACATACAGATTAGTTGCCCATTTCAGAGGGTTTAGTAGGAATTGGCAATATCATTGACATTTGGTTCTTGGTTCTACCTCTCCTTATGCTTTTCTCATGACTAAATAATGGAAGACTTGCTTTTCTGACACTGTTTACCAGCACCTAACTGCCAGGCAGACAGATTCTGCTCTTGTATGAGGAAAGAGTGTGGTTATGGAGATTGGTGTGAAACAGTAAAGTGTGACATGTTTATGACTAAAAACACATGTTGGCAATGCCATCTCCAGAGTGGGAAAGTTTTATTTTATAATTTCCACAATTCAAAAGACTGGTGATTTTTACTCTAAGTTTTAATTTATTGTGGCTCTACGCCTGTTTGTAAAATGCTGGCCCTCTGGGAAGTATATTTTGATGCCTACAGATAGCTAACAACCAGAATTCATAATTTTCTAACTAGAGTTTTAAAACCCCTATATTTGTAATAGTCTTATGATGAAACAATGTACTGAAGAAATCAAGGACTTTGCGACTTCAGGAATGGGGAATATCAATGAAGGTTTAGTAATGCTATAAAATGGAGCCCTTTTGTTGGGATCTCTTTATTTGCTTGTTCATCTCTGTACATGCATTTGGCAAAATTTGCCTCTTTAGCTTAAATATTGTCTCAGCATACATTTAAAAAAATTGTGTACTCTTGAAGCTCATTATAAATACCAAATTTTGACTCAAAATATAATTCACTAAAATATAATAGTTTTAACATTATTCTATTTAAAACCTTTTCCTCCTCACATTTTATAGATTTTTCTAAAGTTGCAACTATTTAACATAAAACAACAACCTAAAAAATTCTACTTAGAAGATCTAAGATCTTTTATCATACCATTTATTTTACTGAGGTTATTTCCTAATAGTTCTTATTTTTAACATTTATTTTGAGTGTCAGATTTCATTATATCTCAGCCATTCCATGTATGCCTCCCCCATAGAGAAATAATAACCTGATTCATAAATGGTAAACAGTAAATTCATACATGAAAATATAAAGATAAATTATTATTTCTAAAGTTGAATAATATTAATACATTTGGCCTCAAGAATTCATGTTTCTGCAAGGACTTTATGGGTAATAGGTGTGAACCCAGTTGCAAGGATGTGGTTGAAAAGGCCTCTGCCAGTATACTAAAAATTTGCTAAGAGGGTAGATCTTATGCTAGGTGTTCTTAACACACATAAACACATACAAATACTAAAAAAATAAAAAGGGCAGGAGGAAACTTTGTTGATAGTTTCACTGGTGTATACTTATATCTAAACTCAACAAGTTGTATATATTAAAAATGTATAGGTTTTATGTGTTAATCACATCAGACTCAGGCACAAAATATCTCTGAGACCCTCAGGCACTCCCCTCTATGATTGGCTTGATTCTCCAATTTTACCTTCTACTTTCTAAGGCTGAACCTGAGGTTTTCACTTCATCCCTGTACTTCTAACTTGAGCTTGTACCCAGACTTTCAGGGCTACTGTACTAGCCTTTGAGCTGCCAGAGATGCTACCCTGTCAGATCCCAAAGACCAGGATTCCCAAATCAGCAGGTGTCTTGACCTGAATGCTTTATCATCACCGCTTGAATCAACTGAGCTTGGAGTTTGGATGTGATCTCGGTCCCAGTTTCACTAAGCTCCACCAGAGCGGGGCCTGGCTCCTTTTCACTGCAGTCTAGCACTTTCAGAAATTAGCTGGGGAAAGCAGAGGAAGCTTCCAGAGGAATGCTAGAGTGAAAACTTGAGTACAGTTGATAATACCTCCACATTTTCTTAGTCTTTAGTTTTCGTATCTCCTATTGGGTTTACTTAAGTTTTCTAATTTTTTCTAGGATTTAATTTGCAGAATAAAATAAGACATTCTTGTTCTTCATATTTTTGGAAAAGAATGGGATACAGTGGTTGAATTAAAAGAAAAAAAAAGAATCATTGTGAAGTAACCCAGCTATTTGAAGATACGTAGCTTTGATTGAAGCCCAGTTTGAAAGAGGATGACTACAGGCAAATCCTATCAGTGGACATTTTATTAATTTTGTTCATAAAAAAAGAGTCAATCAGCATCACACCTCAGGGAATATTCATATAAAATCAGATTCAAACATAGCTAATTAAAAGGAATTTTAAGAGTAACCCAGCATAATGCCAAAGTAAAGAGCAAAAGGACCTGAGGAGCTATAAGCAGTAACAGAAGCTTAGAGGTTCTTCAGTAAGAAGCTGTGGTTCCCTTGGGGAATGAGACAGAAGGTCAGACATCAGAATCAAGAATAGGCAGATAGGGCTGGGCAAGGTGGCTCACGCCTGTAATCCCAGCACTTTGGGAGGCCGAGGTGGGCAGATCACTTGAGGCCAGAAGTTTGAGACCAGCCTGGCTGACATGGTGAAACCCCATCTCTACTAAAAATACAAAAATTAGCCAGACATGATGGCGGGTGCCTGTAATTTCAGCTACTCAGGGGGCTGAGGCAGGGGAATTGCTTGAACCTGGGAGGTGGAGGTTGCAGTGAGCCAAGATGGTGCCGCTGCACTCCAGCCTAGGCGATAGAGCGAGACTGCCTCTCCAAAAAAAAAAAAAAAAAAGAGAGATGGATTTCACTAGTCCCCCCACAAAATTCCCAAAGACAAGTTGAGAAATCAAGAAGAATAACAGAAAGATATGTCAAGAGTGTTCCAGGTATGTGAGTCCTGCTTGTGCAGCTGACTGGGTGGGGCCTGTCTGGGGGTGTATATGGGAGGGAAGGGAAGGATTGGAAGCCACCGAGGGCGAGACCCGGGGAGAGCGGTGAACACGTAGCCAGCAGAGGAATCTTAGACTGCAAACTGAGAAGAGCTGGGTTAACTGACAAGCTGGCAGGACCAGGAGAAAATATAAACATTGGTTGGGTATCAAAGTTAGTAGTTAGAGGGGTTAAAAAATGTAGGTTGAAGTTTGGGTGAACTCTGGGGTGAATCCCGAATGAGCCATACAGAACTCCAGGCAGAACACTGTGAGTGAAAAGTAAATATACCATTTCTGTCCACAGATGTGTTTTGAGCATCTACTATGTAATGTGCACCATATTTGACAATGCGAAGGAATATGCAGAGGTCAGTGAAACATATCTCTTGTGCCTAAATTACTCATGATGATGAAGGTATAGCCCAGCACCTAATAGGCACTTAAGACATATTTTTTGAGTGTCTTTTTTTTGTCTTGTTCACAGTGGAGTACTGGAACCAGCCATACAACCAGCCAGTGAGAGCTGTTAGTTAGCATCTCTTCCCAATTCCCTGTTCAGACGTTATGTTGGAAGCATTAACCGTGGTGCAAGTATTTTCATCACAGAAATCTGCAGCACTACAAATTAAGGGCTTTTTCTGCCCTCCACCTCTCCACCCCGGTTCTTAAATTTTTATTAACATTCTGACACTGGATCAATTTAATCTATCAGTTGAACTTAACAAATATTAACTGAGCACTTCATAAATGTAAATCTATTCTTAGCGCTTATCATCTTGTTTTCAAAAGACATTTTCCCATTTGCAATAACTTGATTATTTAGGTGGTTTGAAGCTTTCCTTATTTAACCCGTGTCACACTTTAGAGTATTGGTTTGCTTCCACTTTGCTATAGAAGAGAATGCAAAGCCAACTCAAGCTTGTGAGTTTTCTCCCTGGATTTGCAGTGTTAGTGATAGGCACAATGGATATCTCAGGGAAGACCTTCTAATTCTCTACTAGGGATTCAGCTCCTGATAGGAATATACTTACATTAATAAAGCTGAAAAATACTGACCTGGTGCTATTCTTTGATTGGCTATTCTGACAATGATGGAGGATGGATGTTTGGGATTAGTAATTATGTAGGGCATATGGATCACCCTTTTGTTATTCTTCCTATGAAAAGTGAAGGACTGTGTTTTGTTTCCATCCTTGGTAAGCCTATAAAGTGTTCCCTCCATAAGAATATTCGAACTTGGTCTCAGGCCACCACTTCTGAGGTTAGATGCTCAGGGTCATTTTATATCTACAATTTTAGATACACTAATTCACTAACATTGAGATTAGATTGGGAATCACCTCAGTGCTCTGTTAATGCCAATTACCTCTGAAACAGCCAGACTGGAGACAGGTAAGAGTCCCCTGATGACTGATTAAAATATGGTATCTTGAAAATTAAGTGTCTAGTTTTGAGTGCAGATGTAGCACAAAGATTTATTATCTCAATTGATTCAGATTGAATGCTATGGGAAAATTCACTAGGAATAATATAACTGTTATACCCTCACAGTAGGAATAAAAAGGAAAAAAATTCACACTTCTAGGGAGTGTTAAAGTCAGGGAAACGGATTGAAATCTTTTATAATGAGCTTTTAAGTCTTAAAGTCTACCAGTAAGAGGACAGAAGTCAAAATAGCAGAACTAAGGACAACGTAAAAATTGATATGATGGTATCCCTTTAGTCTAATTTTACCATTTGATTTGTGCTTTTAAAATAGTATTACATACAACTCAAAATTTCCATAAGGCACCAAAAGAGCTTTCTTGCAGTGGGCTCATTTAATTAATTTTGGCCAATATTTCCGTCTCTAGGTGCCTTCCAGAATTTAGATAATGACCTCTTTTTGAGGCATAAAATTGGAAAAGATTTTAAGAGATTAGAAAATGACTGGTTTAATAGAACTGGTAACACACTCAAAGGTAGACTTTAAATGATCCAAGTCCTATTTTGATTAATGAAAAATTAACATATGGATAATGTTGAATAATGGAATAAAGAGGTAGGAAAGAAATTTTTGAAATTTTTGTTATTTTTAAAAGCTAAATAAAAGATGATAAATGAAGATGATAAATGTAGGAATTATCTTAGTTCTTGAAGGTTATGTTGATATCAAATACATTTATTTATTTTTAAAAATGAAGTTTATTTTTATATTTTAAATTTAGAAAGGTGAAAAGAACAAAATGAAAATAAGCAAAATCTTTATTTTCAGAAAAACTATGCGTTTAAAAAAATAAAGTGTTTGTGTGTACATTTGAGTATACACAAGCAGATAGATGTATTTAATTTAAAAAAAACTTTATTTTTTAAATATACACAGTTTTGCTTGATATGTATATATGTATGTATGTATGTATTAGGAAATTCAAACAAGTTTTTGTGGTTCCTGTAAAATGGAAGACTAAGATAATGCAGAATTAAATTTTGATCTGAACCCATAAGAAAGAAAATTAAATCCTTGGTCACCAGAAACAGATAGGGGTTTATGAAAACCAGAACTCTAAGATGTTCTGATGTCGTACCATTTTATGTTTCCACCATGAGTATGAGTGGTCTAGTGTCTCTACTGCCACACCATCATTTGGTGCTATCACACTTTCTATTTTAGTCACTCTTATAGGTGTGTCGTGACATCTCATTGTAATTTTAATTAGCATTTTGCTAATGATGGCTAATGAAGTTGAAAATCTTATGTGCTTATTTGTTAGCTTTATATTCTCTTCAGTGAAATGTCTGTTCAAGTCTTTTGCCCATTTTCTAATTGAATTATTGTTGACTGTTCATAAACCATTTTGAGTTAGATTTTGTGTAAGATGTAAGTTTAGGTGGCGGTAGTTCTTTTTTTTTTATGCAATGAATGTTAAAAAGCTCTAGCACCATTTGTTGCATTAATTTTAAACCTTTGTTAAAAAACCAGTTAGGCACATTTGTGTGGGTCTATTTCTGGGTTTCTTATTCTTATCTCATTGCAATGTCTATCAATATGCCAATACCATACAGTCTTAAGCACCGTAGCTATATAGCAAACTTAACAGCATGTAGAGTGATTCTTTCTACTTAATTATGTTTTGAAAAATTGTTTTTAGCTATTCTAGGTCTTTTGCCTTTCCACATAAAATTTAAAATGAACTTGTCTATTGTACAAAAGCTCTGCTAGGATTTTAATAGAAATTACATTAAAATTACAGATTGATTTGGAAATAATTGATATCTTTGTGGAGTCTTCTAATCAATGAACCACACAATGTCTCTTCATTTATTTAGGTGCTCTTTGATTACTTTCATCAGCATTTTGTGATTTTCACCATGCAGATTCTGTACTTTTTTAAAAATATTTATATCCAAGTATTTCATTTTATTTGTAATAGTTAAAAATGGTATTGTGTTTTTAGTTTTGGTTTCCGCATTATCATTGTTAATATCATTGTCAAAAACCCAACTGATTTTTATGTGTTCACTTTGTATTCTGAAACTTTGCTAAGCTCACTTAGTACTAAGAGGATTTATTTATTTATTTATTTATTTATTTATTTATGGATTGCTTAAGATTTTCTATGTAGGCAATCATATCATCTGCAAATAGAAAGGGCTTTTTATTTCTTCTTTTTTAATCTATATGCCTTTTACTTTTTATTTTCTTTCTTTTCATTTTTTTTCCTTATGTGCTGGCTAAAAATCTCAGTAATATGTTGAATAGGAGCAGTGAGAGTAGACATCCTTGATCTGTTTCTAATCTTAGAAAACATTCAATCTTTCACCATTAAGTATGATATTAGCTGTAAGTTTTTTTAAGAAAATGTTTTTTATCAAGGTGTGGAAATTCCTCTCTACTTCTGGTTTGCTGAGAGTTTTTGTCATCAATAGGTATTGGATTTTGTCAAATGCTCTTTCTGCATCCACTGATACGACCATATGTTTTTTTCTTTTTATCCTGCTGATATGATATATTAAAATGATATTCAAATGATGAAACTGCTTTGCATACCTGGAATAACTCTAACTTGGTCATGGAGCATAATTCTTTTTACACATTTGTGGATTTTGTGAACATTTCATTTTTGCTTTTTATTGCTACACAATATTTATACATATTTATCTTTTACATATGATATTCTGACACAGAATATGATATGTTTGCATCTGACAGAGAATATCATATGTAAATGCAAACAAATCATATGCAAATAATGTGTAATGATCAAGTCAGGGTATTTAGTATATCTGTCACCTTGAATATTTATCATTTAATTGTGTTGGAAACATTTTAAATATTCTCTTCTGGTTATTTTTGAATATATAATATATTGTTGTTAACTGTAGTCACCCTACCATGCTGTCAAACACTACAACTTTTTCCTTTAAATATTATTTTTAGCTTCACTTTTTTTTTTTTTTTTTAAATCTCGACTCCTTCTTTTCTCCTTATTGGACTCCAAAAATAAAAACATTAGATTTTAGGATCTCATCCCATAGGTCCCCAATGCTCTGGGGTTTTGTTTGTTTATTTGAGGTTAATTTTTTCTCTGTTGTACGAATGAGCAATTTCTATCGATTTCACTTCAGTTTCCCTGGTTCTTTCCTCCGTTGTTTTAAATCAGGTATATTTTAACCTTTTTGAAAACTTAATATTTTTAATTGTGGTTAAATACACATAAAATTTACCATGTTAACCATTTTTAAGTGTACAGTGAGTAGTGTTAAATATATTTAAATTGTTTTGCAACCAATCTCCAGAACTTTTTCATCTTGCAAAGTTGAAATTCTATACCTATTAAACAGCCACTTTCTATGTCTCCATTATGGGATGAATTGAGTCACTCCAAAATTTACATGTTGAAGTTCTAACCCCTGTATTTTAGAATGTGACTGTAGTTGGAAATAGGGTCTTCAAAGAGATGATTATGTTTACATGAGGCTGTTAGGGTGGGCCTTAATCCAATTTGACTGGTGTCCTTTATAAGAGGAGGTAAATTGGACTCAAAAAGAGACACCAGAGTTGAATGCATACACACAGAAAAGACCATGTGAGGACACAGCAAGAAGGTAGTCATCTGCAAGCCAAGAAAAGAGGCTTCAGCAGAAAGCAAACCTGCCACCTTATTCTTTGACTTCTAGCCTCCAGAACTGTGAAAAAATAAATTCTGATGTTTAAGCAAGTCCATTTTTGGTATTTTGTTATGGCGGCCATAGTAAACTAATATATTGCTTTATGTAGGCCCTGGCAACCAACAATTCAACTTTCTGTTTCTATGAATTTGACTATTCTAGATACTTCATATAAATGCAGTCATATAGTTTTTGTCTTATCGTGACTAGCTTATTTAACTTAATAGAATTTTCTCAAGGTTCATCTATGTTATTGCATGTGGTCAGAACTTCCTTCTTAAGGCTGAATTATAATCCATTGTACATATACCACATTTTGTTTATTCATTCATCTGTTGATGGACATTTGATCCACTTATACATCCTGCCTCCACATGCATAACCTTCCTCATTAATATCCTAAACGATAGTACATTTGTTATAATCAATGAATCTGTCTTGATTTATCGTTATCACCACCAGTCCATAATTTACAATGGAGTTACATTTGATGTCATACCTTCTATGGGTTTTAACAAATGTATTATGATATGTATTTACCATTATAGTATCATACAGAGTAGTATCTCTGCCCTAGAAATCCCCTGTGCTCTGCAATTCATCTCTCCCTCTCCCTTAACCCCTGGCAACAACTGATCTTTTTGTGTCTCCATAGCTTTGCCTTTTCCAGAATGTCAAATAGTTGGAATCATGAAGTATGTATCCTTCTCAGATTGGCTTTATTCACTTGGTAATATGCATTTAAGGTTTCTCCATGTCTTTTCATGGCTCGATAGTTCATTTCTTTCTAGTGTAAATAAAATGCCATTGTCTGTGTATATCACAGTGTTGTATCCATTCTTCTACTGAGAGATATCGTGGTTGCTTCCAAGTTTGGGCAATTATGAATAAAGCTGTTGTAAACACTGGTGTATGCACTTTTGTGTGAACACAAGTTGTCCACTCCCTTGTGTAAATACTAAGGAGTATGATTGCTGGATCATAGGATGTGGAGTATCTCTAGTTTTGTAAGAAGCTGCTAAACTGTCTTCAAAGTAGCTGTACAATTTGCATTTTCACCAGCAATGGATGAGAGTTCCTGTTGCTGCATATCCTCACCAGCATTTGGTGGTATTGGTATTTCAGATTTTAGCCACTTTAATAGGTATATAGTAGTGTCTCATTGTTGTTTTAATTTGCAGTTCCCTAATATCAATGAAGTTGAGCATGTTTTCATATGCTTATTAGCCATCTGTATGTCTTTTTTTGGTGAGGTGTCTGTTCAGATGTTTTGCCTCCCCACCTTTTTTTTTGAGACAGGGTCTCACTCTCACCCAGGCAGACAGATGATTGCTCAAGCAATCCATGCACAATTGCCCATTTTAAAATCATGTTACTTTGTTTTCTTATCGGTGAGTTTTAAATGTTCTTTGTATATTTTGGGTAATAGTTCTATATCAGGTAAAGGATAAATATTTTGGCAAATATTTTCTTCTAGTCTGTGGCTTGTCATCTCATTCTGTTAATAATGTCTTTTGTAGAACAGATGTTTTCAATTTTAATGAAGTCTAGCTTATCAATTGTTTTGTTCATGGATTGTGCCTTTGGTGTTATATCTAAAAAGTCATTGCCATATTCTATAACATCTAGATTTTCTCCTATGTTATCTTCTAGTAGTTGAGTTTTAAAGTTTTGTGTTTTACATTTAGGTTTATAATCAATTTTGAGCTTTCTGTGAAGGATTTAAGGTCTGTGTCTACATTCATTGAGTGTTTAGTTATTGCAGTATCATTTGTTAAAAAGATTATCTTTTTTTTTTTTTTTTGAGATGGAGTCTCGCTCTGTCACCCAGGCTGGAGTGCAGTGGCATGATCTCAGCTCACTGTAACCTCTGCCTCCCAGGTTCAAACAATTCTCCTGCCTCAGCCTCCCGAGTAACTGGGATTACAGGCACGGGCCACCACAACTGGCTAATTTTTGTATTTTTTAGTAGAGATGGGGTTTCACCATGTTGACCAGGGTGGTCTCAAACTCCTAACCTCAGGTGATCCTCTTGCCTTGGCCTACAAAGATTATCTTTTCTCCATTGTATTGCTTTTGCTTCTTTGTCAAAGATCAGTTGATTATATGTGGGCCTGTCTTTGGGTTCTCCATTTGGTTTCATTGATGTATTTATTTTTTTACTAATATCATATTGTCTGGATTACTGTAGCTTTGTAGTAAATTTTGATGTTTGGTAGTGTCAGTCTTCTGACTTTGGTCTTCTTCAATGTAGTGTTAGCTATTCTGAGTCTTTTGTCTATGTATACAGAATTTTAAATCAGTTTTGAAATAACTGATTTAAAAAACAGTTATGAAATAACTGTTGGGATTTTTGACTGGGGTTGCATTGACTCTGTAGATAAACTTGGGAAAAACTGATATCTTGACACTGCTGAGTCTTCTTATCCATAAATACAAAACGTCTCTCCATCTGTTTAGTTTTAAAATTTCTTTCATTAGACTTTTGTAGTTTTCCAAATATAGATTTTATACGTATTTTATTAGGCTTATGTAAATGGCATTGTGTTTTTAATTTCAAATTCCACTTGCTCGTTGCTGGTATATAGGAAAATGATCAGCTTCTGTACATCAACCTTGTATCCTGCAACCTGGCTATAATTGTGTATTAGTCCAGATTTTTGTGCGTGAATTCTTTTGTATTTTTCTATGTAGACAATTTTGCCACTGCAAACAAAGAGGGTTTTATTTTTTTCTTCCCATTCAATGTATCTTTTGTTTTCTCTTCTTGTCTTATTACATTGGCTAGGACTTCCAGTACAATGTTGAAAATTGGTGGTGAGACGGGGCATCCTTGCCTTGTTCCTGACCATAGTGGGAAGAGTTAGGTCTCTCACTATTTAGTATGAAGTTAGATGTAGGGTTTTATAAAAATTTTTTAAGATATTTTTTGTCCAGTTGAGAAAGTTCCTCTCTCTTCCTAGTTTGTTGAGAGATTTTATCATGAATGGGTGTTGAATTTGTCCAGTGCTTTTTCCTGTATCTATTGATATGGTTAAATGACTTTTCTTCTTAGCCTGTTCATTTTATGGATTACATTAATTGATTTTGGACATTGAACCCCTATTGCATATCTGGGATAAATCCCATTTGGTCATGTTGTATAATTCTTTTTTATACATGATAGGTTTCAATTTGCTAATTTTTTTTCAGGATATTTGCATCTATATTCATGAGACATCTTAGTCTGTAGTTTTTTTCCTTGTAATATCTTTGTCTAGCTTTGGTATAAGGCTAATGCTGGTCTCATAGAATAGGTTAGAAAGTATTCCCTCTGCTTCTATCTTCTGGAAGAGATTGTAGAAAATTGGTTTAATTTCTTCCTTAAATGTTTGGTAGAATTC